>NW_003571061.2:363078-509415 GCF_000001405.40 Homo sapiens
GAATTCCTGGACACAAAGGACAGACAGGCGGAAGAGGACAGGCAGATGGACACTGAGGTGAGTCCTTTCCTCTCCAGGCCCCCAGGCCTCCCCCACCCCCACCACGTTCCTTCCCTCTCACTCTCCCCCGCTGCAGGCTGCTGCATCTGAAGCCCCCCAGGATGTGACCTACGCCCAGCTGCACAGCTTGACCCTCAGACGGGAGGCAACTGAGCCTCCTCCATCCCAGGAAGGGCCCTCTCCAGCTGTGCCCAGCATCTACGCCACTCTGGCCATCCACTAGCCCAGGGGGGGACGCAGACCCCACACTCCATGGAGTCTGGAATGCATGGGAGCTGCCCCCCCAGTGGACACCATTGGACCCCACCCAGCCTGGATCTACCCCAGGAGACTCTGGGAACTTTTAGGGGTCACTCAATTCTGCAGTATAAATAACTAATGTCTCTACAATTTTGAAATAAAGCAACAGACTTCTCAATAATCAATGAAGTAGCTGAGAAAACTAAGTCAGAAAGTGCATTAAACTGAATCACAATGTAAATATTACACATCAAGCGATGAAACTGGAAAACTACAAGCCACGAATGAATGAATTAGGAAAGAAAAAAAGTAGGAAATGAATGATCTTGGCTTTCCTATAAGAAATTTAGGGCAGGGCACGGTGGCTCACGCCTGTAATTCCAGCACTTTGGGAGGCCGAGGCGGGCAGATCACGAGTTCAGGAGATCGAGACCATCTTGGCCAACATGGTGAAACCCTGTCTCTCCTAAAAATACAAAAATTAGCTGGATGTGGTGGCAGTGCCTGTAATCCCAGCTATTTGGGAGGCTGAGGCAGGAGAATCGCTTGAACCAGGGAGTCAGAGGTTTCAGTGAGCCAAGATCGCACCACTGCTCTCCAGCCTGGCGACAGAGGGAGACTCCATCTCAAATTAAAAAAAAAAAAAAAAAAGAAAGAAAAAGAGAAAAAAGAAATTTAGAAGAATAACAAGTTATTCCAAATGAAGGCGTAAGAAAGGGAATAATAACAATAATAAGAGGAGTTGTTCATGAGGAAAAACCAAAGCTTGAAAATTCAACAAAGCCAGTGAAGCTCATTCTTGAAAACATGAATCACACTCATGAATTCTAACTACAATGAAAAAGAGAAAGAAAGAGCAGGCATGCATTTCCATATGGGAGTGAGCCAGCAGACAGCCCTACAGATCGTACACACGTTTTCCAAAACTAACAATGGAACAGGCGGCAAACCTATGCCAATATACTAGAAATTGCAGATTAAATAGATGAAATATTCTAAACTGGAGTTTACATAATGAACATAAGAGTAATCAGAGAATCTGACTCATTTTAGATGTGTGTGTGTGTGTATATATATGTGTGTGTGTGTGAAAAACATTGACTATAATAAAAATAATCTCGAGTTCACGAAGCTTCATTGGTGATTTCTTACAAATATTGACACACTAATGAAACACACAAACACACCCAGAGCATCACAAATGTTTCTTGAGAATAGAAAAAGTGGCAATGTGCCCAGGTGCGGTGGCTCACGCCTGTAATCTCAACACATAGGGTGGCAGAGGCGGCAGATTACTTGAGGCTGGGAGTTCAAGACCAGCCTGGCCAACACGGCAAAACCCCATCTCTACTAAAAATACAAAAATTAGTCAGACATGGTGGCGCACACTGCAGTCCCAGCTACTTGGGAGGCAGAGGCAGGAGAATCACTTGATCCCAGGAGATGGAGGCTGCAGTGAGCTGAGATCCCGCCCCTGCGCTCCAGCCTGGTCAACAGAGCCAGACTCTGTCTCAAAAAATTAAAAAAAAAAAAAAGTCATGACATATAAAATAGAATTTTCCATTCTATAACAGGCATATTTTAAACTCTACAGTTTTTCTGTTTCAAAATAATATTTTTTTAAATTTTATTTTAATGTTTTACTTTATTTTATTTGGCAGTTTAAAATTCTACATATTTAGGATGTGCAACATGGTATTTTAATATGCCTGTGAAATCGCTAGGTCAAGCTAATTAACATCTGTAACATCACGTAGTTATCTTTCTGTTAAGAGAACATTTAAAATCCACTTTCTTACCAATTTTCGCGTATGCAATCCATTGTTAGCAACTGTAGTCACCATACTGTACAACAGATCTCCTAAACTTACTCCTCCTGTCCAACTGAAGTGCGGTATCCTTCGATGCAGCTCTCTGATTCCACCCCAGCCCAGCTCCCGGGGACCACCTTCTACTCTCTACTTCCATGAGTTCAACTGGGGCAATCCGCACATAAGTGAGATCAGGCAGCAGGTGTCTTCCCGTGCCTTCTTTATTCCGCGTAGCGTGACGTCCTCTAGGCTCGTCCATGTTGTCACAAATGAAACAATTTCCTTCTTCTAGAAGGCGGAATAGTTTTTCGCTGTGTTTATACTGAGCGCTTCATTTTCTGTATCCATTCGCCTGCTGATGGACGCTTGGCCGGGTTCCATGTCTTGGTTATGGTGGCTAAAGCTGTCATGAACATGGGAGGGCGGGCATCTCTTCAACGTACTGATTCCATTTCCTTTAGATACACACCCAGCAGTGAAATTGTTGAAACACAGGGTAGCTCTGATCATTAACTTCTGAAAAACATCTATAGTATTTTTGTGGTCATTGTACTCATTTACATTACCACTAGCGGAGGGCAGCGGTTCTATTTTTTCTACATTCTCGCTAACACTTGTTATTCTACTCTTTTTCATAGTAACCATCCTAACAGATGTGAGGTTATAGCTTCTTAAAGTTTATATGTATGTAAGTATATGCCTATATGTATATATGCAAATGTATGTATTCATACATAAACATCCATACGTACATATGTGCAGATACGTATGTACATATATATGCATGTGTATTGTATGTATATATGTATACACAGGTATACACATATATGTGTAGAAAGTGAAATTTTGCAGTGAGATATCACCTCACAGCTGTTAGATTGCCTATTATCAGAATGGTGAAAGATCAGTGTTGGTGAGCATGAGGAGAAAAAATCCTTACACACCATTGGTGGACATGTAAATTAACACAGCCATTTTAGAAAACAGTATGGAAGCTCCTCAAAAAACTAAACATGCCACCACCATATAATCCAGCAAGCCCACTGCTGGGTGTATACCAGAAGAAATGAAATCGGCCACAGAAGAGACGTCCACACTCCTAAGCTCATTGCAGCACTATTCACAATTGCCAAGTTACAAAAACAATTCTATATTTTTGAAAAAGGATTCATTTCTCCTGTCCCTGTAGAGAAAACGGGCTCAAATTACACATTAGCTGAGCTCTGAGTACTCACTCATGTGTGTATCTATGAGGGTGCATGTTCGTGTGTGTTTCAGTATGTGGTTTTTCCATTCTGTGTACTCACCCATGTCTGTAACTATGAGGGTGCATGTTCACGTGTGTGTGTGTGTGTTTCAGTGTGTGGTTTTTCCCATTTTTCCTCCCTTGAGGATATCGCATTGTATGTTTTGGATTCTTTGATCTTCCAATTAAATTACATCATTTAGAATTGCTTTCACTAAGTGTGAAACAATAAAAATTTTTTTTAATTGTGGCTCTGGAAATACCTTCCTTTCCCTTTCACTCTGTATCAAGATTTGTAAATTTTTTAAAATTTTTGTTGTTATTTTAAGTTCTGGGGCACATGTGCAGGATCTGCAGGTTTGTTACACAGGTAAACATGTGCCATGGTGGTTTGCTGCACCTGTCAACCCATCACCTAGGTATTAAGCCCAGCATGCATTGGCTGTTGTTCCTAATCCTCTCCCTGTCCCAACTCACCCTCCTCCAACAGGTCCCAGTGTGTGCTGTCCCCCTCCCTGTGTTCATGTGATCTCACTGTTCAGCTCCCACTTATAAGTGAGAACATGCAGTGTTTGGTTTTCTGTTCCTGCATTGGTTTGCTGAGGATAATGGCTTCCAGCTCCATCCATGTCCCTGCCAAGGACATGATATTGTTCCTTTTTATGGATGCATAGTATTCCATGGTGTATATGTATCACATTTTCTTTATCCAGTCTATCATTGATGGGCATTTGGGTTGATTCCAGGTCTTTGCTACTATGAATAGTGTTGCAAAAAACATATGCATGCATGTATCTTTGTAATAGAATGATTTATATTCCTTTGGGTATATACCCAGGGATTGCTGAGTCAAATGGTATTTCTGGTTCTAGATCTTTGAGGAATCACCACACCATCTTCCACAATGGTTGAACTAATTACATTCCCACTAACAGTGTAAAAGCATTTCTATTTCTCTGCAACCTCACCGGCATCTGTTTCTCCTTGACTTTTTGATAATCGCAATTCCAACTGGTGTGAGATGGTATCCCATTGAGGTTTTGACTTGCATTTCTCTAATGACCAGTGATGTTGAGCTTTGTTCCATGTTTCCTGGCCACATGAATGTCTTCTTTTGACAAGTGTCTGCTCATGCCTTTTGCCCACTTATTAATGTTTTATTCCTGTAAATTTGTTTAAGTTCCTTGTGGATTCTGGATGTTAGACCTTTGTCAGATGGACAGATTGCAAAAATTGTCTCCCATTCTGTAGCTTGTCTGTTCGCTCTGATAATGGTTTCTCTTGCTGTGCAGACGCTCTTTAGTTTAATTTGATCCCATTTGTCAATTTTAGCTTTTGTTGCAATTGCTTTTGGTGATTTCGTCATGAAGTCTTTGCCCATCTTTGTCCTGAATTATATTAAATAAAGTCTTTGTCCTGAATTATATTAAATAAAGCATAAGGGAAAAGATGTAGAAGGGAAAGTACATGTAATGGTTAAGGCGTCTACTGCCAATCCCTCCCCGTTCCTCAAGATGAAGCCTGACATGCTGGGTTTAATGTGTGAGACAAGCTGCCGACAGGTCGTTTGCCTTTGTCTTTAATAATTTAGATTAACACAGAAATCTTCACCATGAATTTCTGAAGGCCTTTCTTTAGTATCTCCTGGTGTTGAATTTGCTGTTGGAAGGTCCAATCCCAGTGAGCATGCAAATCCATTGGAAATAATTTGCATTTTTACAAATAAATAATTTTAGGATTTTTTTTTTGTTTCCAGGACAGACTTCCTTGTATTTTTTTAATGAGTTAAAAATTATATAATATAAAAATAACATTTAAAAACCCACAATTCAGGCCGGGCACGGTGGCTCATGCCTGTAATCCCAGCACTTTGGGAAGCCGAGACGGGCGGATCACTTGAGGTCAGGAGTTTGAGACCAGCCTGGTCAACATGGCAAAACCCCGTCTTTACTAAAAATACAAAAATTAGCCAGGCATGGTGTCAAGCACCTGTAATCCCAGCTACTCGGGAGGCTGAGACAGGAGAATTGCTTGAACCTGGGAGGCAGAGGTTGCAGTGAGCAGAGATTGTGCCACTACACTCCAGCCTGAGTGACAGAGCAAGACTCTGTCTCACACAAAAACAAAAACAAAAGCAAAAACAACCCCTCACAATTCAGCCTAGGATATGTTTATTAAATTTACATTTGTCTTTTTGCTTAAGATTGCTTTGGTATTCGTCCTCTTTTTGGTTCCATATGAATTTTAGGATTGTTTTTTCTAATTCTGTGAAAAAAATGATGTTGATATTTTGATGGGAATTGCATTGAATCTAAATATTGCTTTGGGAAGTGTGATCATTTTCACAATATTGATTCTTCCAATCCATGAGCATGGGATATATTTCTATTTTGCTGTGTCATCTACAATTTCTTTCAGCAGCATTTTGTTGTTCTTCTTGTAGAGATCTTTCACCTCCTCGGCTAGGTATATACTTAGATATTTTTAATTTTTGCAACTGATGTACAAGGGATTGAGTTTTGCAGCAACCTGGATGAGCTGGAGGCCATTATTCATGACACCACATCCAGCTAATTTTTGTATTTTTTGTAGAGATGCGGTTTTGCCATGTTGCCCAGGCTGGTCTTGAACTCCTGGGCCCAAGTGACCCGCCCGCCTTGACCTCCCAAAGTGCTGGGACTGCAGGCATGAGCCACGGTGCCCGGCCTATCATAGCACTTTTGATCATTGGGATAATTCCTCCTCCTTGTCATTTTTGGACACATGCTTCCCACATGCCTCATCTTCCAGAGAGGGTTTCCACCAGGGCTGTGCTGGGAGTTAAGGCTGGAAAAGGGGAGATGGTTCCAGCTGCCAGTGCCACATGAGTCTACTCAGGGCTGTAACCAGCAGGGAAGGTCCAGTGTGAGCCTCAGACTCGCATGTGGGACAGACGCCCATGTGTGACAACGCTGCAGTGAATCTGTTTCACACACATGGAGGAGGCGGCTCAGGGCTGACCATGGACCTGAGTCAATGAGCAGAGATATCCCAGTGCCATCCACAAACACAGGGGAGAAGGAGCCACAACTTCTCACTTTCATCCAAAACCCCGACCCCTCCCTGTCTGTGAGGGCCTGGGGTTCTCCTCTGTCTCATACAGAGGCAGAAACCTCCCCCTTAGTGACCCCCAGACTTTGCAAGTCACCAGCAGCCGCTCGGCTCTGGCCTCTTCTGCTTCTTAAGGTTTCCTGCCTATGACAGGAAGTCTCATTTCTCATTTTCTTCATCGGACCATGGCTACATATTTCAGACACATTATAAGTAGGTTTTCCCAATGTTAGGAGCAGATGTGGGCTGTTGAGCATTTAAGTTGCTCACCGTGACTGTGCAGTCCAACACCAGGATCCACTCATGTTTCAGCCCCTCAAGACTTAACCCGGTCTGGAAATGTACCATGACTGAGGCCCTCCCATGACCCAGGCACCACTGGCCCCCAAAACCACTCAGGAGGGGGGTTCATGACAACAGGCTCCAAATGAGGAAACCGAGGCTCAGAGATGGGACTTACTGCCCAAGGTCATGCACGCAGGGATGAAGGTGAGCAATTCAGAAAAAATTAACTCCCTATCCCACCGCCAAATCAGAGCTCAAGACAAGTACTTGTTCCCAAAACCTTGAAGGCAGACTGAGATGCAGGGGAATGCCCAAGGAAGCGGGGCTGGGGGTGGGAGGGACCCCGAGGAGGCAGGAATGACTCAGAGGTTACTTTTAAGGGAAGGGGAGCTGAACGCTATTAAAAAATAGGAAGAAAAAAAGAAGGGAAGTCTAAGAAGGAAACTGGAAGAAATAAAACCCATACTCCAAAGACAAAAGAAGAGTCAGCATTTCTTTATTTCTCCTTTTTTTCTCATTGCCAATTGCAGCTCAACTTGAATTTCACAGCCCGATGTGAGATGCGTCTCTGCTGATCTGAGCCTGTCCTGCAGCATGGACCTGCAACTTTCCTGAAGCATCTCCAGGGCTGGATGCCATGGTAAGGATCCCGCAATGCTGTGTTGATGGACGGGCTGAAGGAGGGAAGGAGACCCCACGGGGAGGCTCTGAGAAGAAGAAAAAGCCCCCAGTCACTCTCACTTGGACAGGACAGACTCAGAAAGGTGCTGTGTCCTGTGTCCTGACCCTTGATGAGATGAGGACAGATGAGGCAAATCGCAGAAAAGGGTCAGGGAGATACCATTTCTGTATGAAATATCTGAAGACAGCCTGGTGCCTGCCCCAGTCCCAGCCTTGGGGAAATGAAAGCCAGGCTCCTGGAGAGGGCAGTTCCCCTTCTTGTGGGGCTGATGACGGGACAACCTCGTGATGGAGAACCCAGGCTCCCAGTAGATTTACTCCATCCAGGAACTGTGGTCTCGTCCATCTGCACAGCCAGGGGCTGTGGAGGAGATGCCATGACTTCCACCCGCAAACCTCTGATCTGTCTTGATGAAATTGAAAGAGGGAGAGGGGAGACTGTAGCCTGGAAGGAATCCCACCTCACAACTTGGTCCTGATTGAATAGAAGACCCCAGAGGTTCACAGAGATCCCAAGGTGGGGAGGATCTGCCCAGGGTTCAGGAGGCGAATCTCCCTCAGGAAGCTCCGTGACCCCCTCCTTAGTGTCGCTCCTGTGCCTCAGTGGGATTTGGAGAGGATGCCTTAGATTAGAGGGTATTGTTCAGTGGGATTTGGAGAGGATGCCTTAGATTAGAGAGTATTGTTCAGTGGGATTTGGAAAAGATGCCTTAGATTAGAGGGTATTGTTCAGTGGGATTTGGAGAGGATGCCTTAGATTAGAGGGTATTGTTCAGTGGGATTTGGAGAGGATGCCTTAGATTAGAGGATATTGTTCAGTGGGATTTGGAGAGGATGCCTTAGATTAGAAGGTATTGTTCAGTGGGATTTGGAGAGGATGCCTTAGATTAGAGGGTATTGTTCAGTGGGATTTGGAGAGGATGCCTTAGATTAGAGGATATTGTTCAGTGGGATTTGGAGAGGATGCCTTAGATTAGAGGGTATTGTTCAGTGGGATTTGGAGAGGATGCCTTAGATTAGAGGATATTGTTCAGTGGGATTTGGAGAGGATGCCTTAGATTAGAGGGTATTGTTCAGTGGGATTTGGAGAGGATGCCTTAGATTAGAGGGTATTGTTCAGTGGGATTTGGAGAGGATGCCTTAGATTAGAGGATATTGTTCAGTGGGATTTGGAGAGGATGCCTTAGATTAGAGGATATTGTTCAGTGGGATTTGGAGAGGATGCCTTAGATTAGAGGGTATTGTTCAGTGGGATTTGGAGAGGATGCCTTAGATTAGAGGATATTGTTCAGTGGGATTTGGAGAGGATGCCTTAGATTAGAGGATATTGTTCAGTGGGATTTGGAGAGGACGCCTTAGATTAGAGGTATTGTTCAGTGGGATTAGGAGAGGACACCTTAGATTAGAGGGTATTGTTCAGTGGGATTTGGAGAGGATGCCTTAGATTAGAGGGTATTGTGTCTTTCAGCAACAAAACCGTACAAAAAACACCTGGGCATTTCACATCAGTGGATAAAGCATATCTTGTGCCAAATCAGGACCAAACTGCGGTGAAATTTAGGGTTCACACTACAGTTAATCACTTTTGAGGAAAGCATTCCAGGTTGGTGCCTATCTCTGTGATAAACATCTCCCTTCCTGGCTACAGGTAATGGATTAAAGTAACACTGGCCGAACAGACACTATCTTCACTTGATGATTATACTGAAAAATAGCCATAAAATTGTTCCCTCCAAATCCAATTCCCCTTTTGACTTTAGACAATTCTCTAAAGAAGATATACAAATGGCCAACAAACATATAAAAAACATGTATATATGCGTATATATACATATATATACACACACACACACACACACACACACACACACACACCATGGAATACTTCAGTCATAAAAAGGAACAAAATAATGGCATTCGCAGCAACCTGGAGGCAGTTGGAGACCACTATTCTAAGTGAAATAACTCAGGAATGGAAAACCATCATCATATGTTCTCATAAGTGGGAGCTAAGCTATGAGGATGTAAAGGCATAAGAAGGATATAATGGACTCTGGGGACCCAGGGGGAGCAATGGGAGGGGGTGAGGGATAAAAGACTACGCATTGGGTACAGTGTACACTGCTCGGGTGATGGGTGTTCCAAAATCTCAAAAATCACCACTAAAGAACTTATGCATGCAACCAAACACCACCTGTTCCCCCAAAACTACTGAAACTTAAAAATAAATAAATAGATAAAAATAAATTCACCACATTCAAAATGACAACCGCTGAAGCCCCAGTGGGCGCATGTTACAGGGTGCTCTTTTAGTTTCGGCCTTCCATAGGCAACTTGTGTGTATCAGCTCCATTAGACCCCTGCCTTCCTGCAAGGACAGACGGCTCTCTGTATCCCAGGGTTCTCGCCTTGGTGTACCGGAAGAACCGGATCACATGAGGGCTTGGAGAATGAGTGCAAGGTTTGATTGAGTGGAAACAGCTCTCAGCAGAAGGGCGATGGTTTTCTCCTGGAGTCGGGCCCCTGGCGGCCCGGGATCCTCTCTGACTGTCCCAGCCAAGCTCCATGTCGTTCTGCCAGTCGGTGGCCTGTGGTGTGCTGGTGCCCGTCCTTGCGTTCCTCTCGACATCCAGCCATCTGTGTGTTCCTGCACTGACGTGCTCCTCTCAGCCGCCAGTGTCTTCTTCTTCCGCTGATCTGCGGACGTCCAGCTGCTTGTGTGTCTGCCTGCTCAGGTCTCGGAGTTGTTTTTTTTGTTTGTTTGTTTGTTTTTTAATTATACTTTAAGTTTTAGGGTACATGTGCACAATGTGCAGGTTAGTTACATATGTATACATGTGCCATGTTGGTGTGCTGCACCCATTATCTCGTCATTTAACGTTAGGTATATCTCCTAAAGCTATCCCTCCCCACCCGCCACCCCACAACAGGCCCCGGTGTGTGATGTTCCCCTTCCTGTGTCCATGTGTTCTCATTGTTCAATTCCCACCTATGAGTGAGAACATGCGGTGTTTGGTTTTTCGTCCTTGCAATAGTTTGCTGAGAATGATGGTTTCCAATTTCATCCATGTCCCTACAAAGGACATGAACTCATCATTTTTTATGGCTGCATAGTATTCCATGGTGTATATGTGCCACATTTTCTTAATCCAGTCTATCATCGTTGGACATTTGGCTTGGTTCCAAGTGTTTGCTATTGTGAATAGTGCCACAATATAGTTCAACCATTGTGGAAGTCAATGTGGTGATTCCTCAGGGATCTAGAACTAGAAATACCATATATTAATCACCTCAGTTAGTTATTATTTCTGTGTGCATGTGTGTGTGCAGTGAAAATACTTAGGATCTACTCTCAGCTAATTTTAAGTGTACAATACAGTATTGTTACCTATAGCTTTCATTCCATACATTAGCTTTCCAGAATTATTCATTTCGGAGAATTGAAACTTTGTATCCTTTGACCAACATCTTATTTTTCCCATTTCCAGCCCCTGCTAACCACCATTCTACTCTCAGCTTCTATGAATTTCACTATTTAGATTCCACAATTATGTGAGATTATAAGATATTTATCTATTAAGAGTTGGATTCATTTCACTTAGCATAATGTCATTTGGGTCCAATCCTGCTATCACAAATGATCTGATTTTCTTCTTTTTCAAGACTGAATAAAACTTTATATTTATTATACTATGTTATCTTAATCCATTCCTCCATCAATGGGCATTTATGTCATTTATTTACCTCGGCTATTGTGAATACTGGTGCAGTGAATTCATCAGTGTGGATATATCTCTTCAAGATCTTGATTTGAGTTCTTTTGGATAATTATCCGGAAGTTGAAATCTGGTGTCTTATAGTTCAATTTTTAACATTTTGAGGAAATGTGATACCGTTTCTATAATGGATGGATCGGTTTCTGTTAACTTAAATCAGGGTATTGTCTTTCTCACTCAGACCGCTGCTGGAATCCTTGGAAATTCTTCACTCCTTTACTTTTTTAGCTTTACTTTTATCACTTCACAGATATTGAGACCCAGAGACCTGATTCTCAGCCAGCTGGTCTTAGCCAACAACCTGGTTCTTTTCTCTAAACGAATCCCCCAGACAATGGCAGCTTTTGGAATGAAATCCTTCCTGGACGAGGCTGGATGAAACTTGTCTTCTATCTATACACAGAGTGGCCAGAGGGGTTTCCCTCAGCACCGCCTGTCTCCCCAGTGGCTTCCAGGCCATGAAGCTTCAACCTCAGTATCTCTAGGAGGATGGAACTCCGAATTAGGTCCACAAAGTGCATTGTTTTCTGCTGCCCCCTCTGCTGGATCTTGCAAATTGTGGCATATACCCATATTGCAATGCATGTAACTGGCCCAATGAAGAGCAAAAACGTGAGTATGGAATAAATGTATAGGTACTCTCCTCACCCATTCTAGGATGATTGCTATTCTTAGCAAATGCAGTCATTTTCTCCCTTGTGGATGGTATGTCTTTGGCCCTCATGGACTACACCAGCAGCTCCATGATCCTCTTCTTATATAGACACAAGCAGACAGTCCAATGCATTCGCAGCCACGGCCTCTCCCCCTGAAAATCTCATGAAACTAGAGCCACACACACCATCCTCGTCCTGGTGAGCATGTTTGTCTCCTCTCATGGTCTAGCTGGTATTTTATCACTGTGGGTAACCTGGATTCAGAACCCAAGCCATTGGCTGAGAAGCATCTCTTTCCTGGTGTCTGCAGGATTCCCGACATTCAGCCCCTTTGGGTTCATTGTCAGTGATGCCCGCGTCTCACAGTTCTGCACTGTCTGCTGGACAAGGAAGACAAATGCTCCAAGTGTGGTCTCTGGGCTCTAAGTTCCCTCTAGACAATTGCGTCCTTTATTTAATCACTTCTCCCCACAATATCTGTTGGATCATACATTATGCCAGTTAATACGCAAGGACTTTGGGACTCAGTATTGAATAAAAATGATAATAACCATAGCCTCATATTGCTTCTTAGGCTCTCAAAAAATGAACGCAGTGTAAAAATTACCCAGATGTATGTCAGTTCCTCAGAAGATTAAACACAGAATTACCATATGACCCGGCAATTTCTGGGAAAATTAAAGCAAGGATTTAAAAGGATGCTCATATACTCATGTTCATAACAGCGTTATTCACATTAACAAAAAAGTAGAAAAAACCCAAAGATGGATAAATGGATAAACAAATGTTATAGAAACTAGGAAATACTGTTCAGTCTCTCAAAGAAATGAAATTGTGACTGACATACACTATAATATGGAGAGCCTTGAAGATATTATGCTAAGTGAAATAAGCCAGTCTCATAAAGGACAAATATTGCAAATATTGCTAAGATTCTATCTATATGAGCTACCTGTCAAACTCACAGACTCAGGAAGTAGAATCACGGTTAACAGAGGCTTGGGGGCCTGGAAACTGAGAGTTGGTGTTTACTGAATATAAAGCTTCAATTGGAAAGATAAAATACTTTGGGGATGGTGATGGCGATGGTTGCATAGCAATGTCAAACCACTTCACAATACTGCACTGTAGAGTTAGAAAGAGTAAATATGGTAAATTTTATTTCATTTGTTTTTTTTTTTACTATAATTTAAAATGAGAAAGAGTAGTAAAAACACACAAAAGAGAGGAGCTAACAGATAAAAAGTGCACTAAGTTAGCCAAGCCAGAGCTTTAAGAACCATTATCACTTCTCTCTCTCTTTCACCCCACAATCAACATTAATCAGGTCCAACCATGTGTTCTGCCTTCTTAGCACTGCTCACGTGTGTCCCCTCCTCTCTTATTTCCATGCACTCTGGCCCAGCTGGGCTTCTTCTCTCTTTGCCTGTGATTTGCTCTGTTGTCCTCCCTGGCTCAGACGTGCAGTCCCAGTCTCTCCTGATGCTTTGTCCCCACATTGAGGGCACTGCTGTTTCCCCACAGGCCACTCCTTTTTTTTTTTTTTTCTTGAGACAGAGTCTTACTCTGTCACCTAGGCTGGAGTGCAATGGCACGATCTCGGCTCACTGCAACCTCCACCTCCCAGGTTCAAGTGATTCTCCTGCCTCAGCCTCCTGAGTAGCTGGGATTACAGGTATACACCACCACACCCAGATAATTTTTTGTATTTTTTTTAGAGACAGGGTTTCACTGTGTTGGCCAGGCTGGTCTCGAACTCCTAACCTCGTAATCCTCCCACCTCAGCCTCCCAAAGTGCTGAACTCCTAATACACCCTCTGTCCTTTCCCACCTTGTCTGTGCCCTGGAGGCTGACTCTATGGATTGCATCATCAGTGTCTCCTTGCCTTTAGCGTCTGATTGAGTTCAACCATGGAGGCACTGTCAGGAGAGCAGAGGGTGAGAGGAGAGAGAGGCCGGGGAATCAATTCCCACACATATGCCCTGCCAGGCTGTGGTTTGTCAGCAACTGTGCTCCTCTACCCATGACATCAGCTCCCGCAAGGCACCTCCCATCTCCCACACAGGGCTCTCTCCACCCCTTGACCTCCCATCCTGGGAGTGGCAGTGGCTTCCTGGGGTGCTTCATCCCTCTCATTTGCCCACACCTTTATACACTTCTTTTTCTTTTTTCTTTTCTTTTTTTTTTTTTTTTTTTTGACGGAGTCTCACTCTGTCACCAGGCTGGAGGGCAGTGGCACCATCTCAGCTCACTGCAAGCTCTGCCTCCCGGGTTCACGCCATTCTCCTGCCTCAGCCTCCAAAGTAGCTGGGATTACAGGCGCCCGGCTAATTTTTTGTATTTTTAGTAGAGACAGGGTTTCACCATGTTAGCCAGGATGGTTTTGATCTCCTGACCTTGTGATCCACCCGCCTGGGCCTCCCAAAGTGCTGGGATTACAGGCGTGAGCCACCGCGCCCGGCCTATACACTGCTTTTTCTATTTCCATTTTTATTTTAGAATTGGGGGTACATGTGTAGGTTTGTTACCAAGGAATATTGTGTGGCATTGAGGTTTGGAGTAAGACTGAGCCCCTCACCCAGGTAGGGAGCATGGTACCCAACAGGTAGTTTTTCAGCCCCATCCCCCTCCTCTCCACCCTCAGTGGTCCCCAGCGTCTACTGTTGCCATCTTTATGGGAAGATGTGTACCTAATATTTAGCTCCCACTTATAAGTGAGAATATGTGGTATTTGGTGTTCAGTTTCTACATTAGTTTACGTAAGATAATGGCCTCCAGCTGCATCCATGTTGCTGCAAAGGACATGAGTTCATTCTTTTTTATGGCTGTGTAGTCTTCCATGGTGTATATGGACCACATTTTCTTTATTTGGTTCACTGTTGATGGGCAACGAGGTTGATTCCATGTCTTTTCTATTGTCAATAGTGCTGCAATGATCATCCAAGTGTGTGTGTTCTTGACTAGAATGATTTATTTTCCCTGGATATATACCCAGTAATAGGACTCCTGGGTCAAATGGTAGTTCCATTCCTAGTTATTTGAGATATCCTCAAACTGCTCTCCACGGCGACTGTTAGTCCTAGCTCTTTGAGAAGCCAAGGTGGGAGGATTGCTTGAGGCCAGGAGTTTGGGGCCATTCGATTCTCTAACTACTACCCCTGCTGTATAGAAATGTCATTGATATGGATTTGTTTTTATTTTCTTATAAATCCTAATGGACTTTGAATTTTCTATTTAGAGAATCTTACTACCTACAAGTAATGAAAAAATCTCTCTAGCCCTCATATATCTTATTTTTAGTTTTTTACTTTTACTGATATTATTACATCAGTTAGGACACCTCAGTAGAAAATGGAATAAAAGTGGAAAGACCATTAAGCCTCGTTTTGTTCATATTTTAGTGGAAATTGATCTAAGCTTCATCATTAAATATAATATTTGCTATTGATTTGTTGCTGGGCATCCTTTAACATGTTTATGATGTTTCATTCTATTCCTAATTCATTAAGATTTTTTAAACCATAAATAAGTGCAGATTATAGTAATATTGAGCAAATATTTTCTTCTCACCTCCAATGGGCCACCCTCTAGACCCCCTACCCTCACCCTCATCTCCCCTACCTCACCGCGGGTCTCTGTCCTCAGACCCCTGCTGCAGGGGACCCCTGGAGGTGACATATGCTCAGCTGGACCACCAGGCCTTCACTTGGAGGACAGCCCAGGCTGTGTCCCCAGAGTCCATGGTGCCCATGGCTGAGTCTAGCATGTACACAGCCCTCGCCAGGCACTGACTCCGGGACCACTGCCCCCTGCGCCTGAGGAAGTCATGCTTGGAAAAGCCTCAAGAAGCCATCTGGAGGGCTTCCCCTTGGAATCATCCTGGTCTGCAAAACCAGTCAACTGTTCTGGAGATAAGAGGTAGAGCCCAAAGTTCTCTAGTCAGCATCTAGAAAGTTCATTAACCAGGTGATTCCTTCCACAACTGACCAGCACCTCAAAGAGGTGGCATTGCAGCTACTTCTAGAAACCCAGCTGCAATCACCTGGCTGTTTCCAGACACCTAGTTCCAGTCACCTGGTTGTTTCCAGTGATCCAGCTGCTGTCACTTCTCTGTTTCAAGACACCCAGCTCCAGTCTCCTGGCTGTTTGCTGAGTCTCAGCTATAGCCATCCCAGCTGATTCCATTAACAATGTTGCATCCCCCTGCAGTTTCCAAATGTCTTCTGTAAATCCCCCCAGCTGCCCCAGCAATCGTCTACTCAGCTGATCCTGAACATTCTCCTAGAGTTTAGTTGTTGACCTTGAGAATGAGCTATACATATGGATCTGAGAGCTGAGACCAGTCCTCTGGGTCATGCTTTACTTCATGCACCAATGAATAGTTTAAAGACCTCACATCTGGCAGTCCTGTGTCATGTTCTGGGGTGTATAGATCACTTGGACCCAATCTCTGCCTTCATGTTGTTCAAGGTTACATGGGGTTAACAAGAGCTACAAAGGAGGTGTCAGTATTTTTTTAAGGATTTCATTGGCAGTGATTGCATATATTCAAGATGCACAAGGTGATAATTTGATATACATATACATTGTGAAATAATAGCCACGGTCAAATGAATCAGCGCATCCATCACCAGCTACGCTGTACATAAGATCCCCTGAACTTGCTCATCTTAGGCCTCCAAGATGGAGCATATGATCAGGGATCAATTAAGGTGTCTGAGCGGATGCATGGATGGGTGAAGACAGAGAGCTAATCCCACTTATGCACTTACACACATATGCACATGTACTCACACATTCACACATGCACACACATGCACAAACCTGAACGCACTCACACATGTCAGGAGACCTCTGAATCCTCTGTGCGCTGGGACTTGGTTGTCTCCACCCCTCTTAGAAAGTTAGATGCTCTCCCTATTCAGATTAAAACGGAAAATTACTTGAGAACCACTAGGGGGAGACAGTACCTCATTTGAATTAATTTTTGTGCACATTTAAAATAAACAATAACACACTTACCATGGGCATGCCTTTGGCCGGATTGCAAAGGTAAACATATATCAAAGCATCTCATGGTACCCAATAAATATATACAATTATTATTTTTCAATTAAAATATCGTAATAAAATAACAGAAAAGAAACCTGCATACTTGTAACAGAGTGGATTTTTAAATGTCGTTTTATACAAGAAAAAGAATATTTTTTAAAAAACTCAACAATAACTCAATCAGCTTATCCTATGGAGCAATTACTAGTTGAATACTATGCAAACATCAACACATTCACTAGTCTTACATATGCCCCACAGCTTGTCCTATTTTTTCCCCACTTGTGGGGATTTTGATAGTTGTTGAGTATGTCTAATCCAATTATACATTCCAGAGCAAGGAATAAAGCCACAGGATGCATTTGGTGGCCAAGAAAATTCAACAGGAGACAAATCTGAGCTAAAGGTTCATTGACTACCTGACCTCCATAAGCTTCTAATCTGACTGGAGGGTCACCATGATGTTTTGGGTCTTCTGAAGTTAGTGTTAGCTCAGAGCCAGTGTCTAGTTGCACCCAAAATATCTGATCATTTCCTTTACCCAGTACACAGCTACCATGATAAAGGCCATAGGTCCATTTAAGGGAAGCTGAGATAAATATAATTGTTTAACTTTTTATAGTATATACCGGGGCAGCGCCTTCAAGGATACCTGGTCTTCCCTTTAATTCAAGGGGTTCTGGGTCTATAAACTGGTGAAATTCTAGTAATTGATTAAGAGACTGTAACTGTCTATTTTATGATTTTAATTAGATTCTTGTTCTCTTTGCCAAGAAATGTTCTGCTTATACAAATCAAGTAAGAATGAAGTAAGTTTCCTATCTATTTCACGTCTTAGA
The DNA here is from genome assembly GCF_000001405.40 of Homo sapiens. Classification (NCBI taxonomy): domain Eukaryota; kingdom Metazoa; phylum Chordata; class Mammalia; order Primates; family Hominidae; genus Homo; species Homo sapiens. Next base: position 380,816 of record NW_003571061.2, read on the forward strand.
ACGCTGCGGTCAACTAGACAACACTAAAGGGCTGCATGAGACAGTCTATTCTGATTACTGCCTTGATTCTGCTTTCCATTATGATCACCACACCCAGTTCTATGATAACCACACCCAATTCAACACACCAGATTCTCACCTTTGTCGACTGACTTCTGACACTTGAGTCCTGCCACTCTAGGATCCAACTACTCCCCTTACATTTAGGTTTCTCGGTTCAGTGGCAGCAGTTCCCACTGGAAGTTCTGGCCTCTCCTAATACACCCTCTGTCCTTTCCCACCTTGTCTCTGCCCTGGAGGCTGACTCTATGGATTGCATCACCAACATCTTCTTGTGTCTAGTGTCTGGTTGAGTTCAGCCATGGGAGGCACTGTCAGGAGAGCAGAGGGTGAGAGGAGAGAGAGGCCGGGGAATCTATTCCCACACGTACGCCCTGCCAGGCAATAAACTGTGCTCCTCTACCCATGACATAAGCTCCCACGAGGCACCTCCCATCTCCCAGCTCAGTCCTCAAGGTGACTTTCCAGAGACCTAGTTACATTCGGCTGTTACTAAAGAGTCAGCTACAGTCATCTAGCTGTTTCCAGTGACCACCCCCAATCCCCCATAGCTGCCTGCCTGTTTGCAGAGACCCAGCTACATGCACCTAGCTGTTTCTAGAGACCCGGCTACATCCACCTGGCTGTTTCCAGAGACCCGGCTACATCCACCTGGCTGTTTCCAGAGACCCGGCTACATCCACCTGACTGTTTCCAGAGACCCGGCTACATCCGCTGGCTGTTTCTAGAGACCCGGCTACATCCACCCAGCTGATTTCATTATCACTGACGCAGTCCCCAGCTGCTCCTATGTCTCCTGGAAATCCCCAATTGCCCCAGAGACTTTGTTGTAATTTTCTGTTCAGCTGACTCTAGGGATCTTCCTGGAGCTTAATTGCTGACCTTAAGAATGGGCCATATTTATGCAACTGAGAGCAGAGCCCAGTTCTCTGGGCCATGCTTTCCTTTGTACATCAACAAATAATCCTAAAGACCTAAAGTCTGGCAATCCCACGCCAGGTCCTAGGGTGCACAGGTCACCTGCATCCAGTCTTTGCCTTCACAGTTATTCAAAGCTGAGCAGGGAAAAAGGAGAGCCACAGAGAAGTTCAGTGTTTTCCTTTTTATCTTTTTAAAAAATCCTTTTTTATCCTTAAAATGATTTAATCAACCAAGATTGTATATATTGAGGTGTACAACATGATGATTTGATATACGTATACATTGTGTAATGATTGCCACAATCAAATTAGCACACTCAGGACAACCAGTGCCCTAAATAGATCCCCTGGATTTGTACACGTTATGCCTTAAAGTTGGTGCCAGAGTTCCATTTATTTATTTTTATCCATATATAATAGTTGTATATAGGTTTGGGGTACTTATGATATTTTGATACTTGTATGCAATGGGTAATAATAAAATCAGGGTAATTAGAATATCCATCACCTCAAATATTTATCTTTTCTTTTTGTTGGGGAGCATTACAATTCTTTTATTCTAGTTGTTTTGAAATACACAATATATTATTGTTAACTATACTTCCCCTACTGTACTGTCAAATACTCAGTTATTTCTCCTATCCAGCTGTATTTCTATACTCCGTAACTAACATCTCCTTATCTCCCACCCTTTCCAGCTCTAGTAACCACCAGTCTACACATTTTTTTTTTTTGAGACAGAGTCTTGCTGTGTCACCCAGGATGGAATGCAGTGGCGTGATCTTGGCTCACTGCAACCTTTGCCTCCTGGGTTCAAGAGATTCGCCTGCCTCAGCCTCCTGAGTAGCTGGGATTACAGATGCATGCCACCACGCCAGGCTAAAGACAGGGTTTCACCATGTTGGCCAGGATGGTCTCGAACTCTTGACCTCAAGTGATCCACCCGCCTCAGCCTCCCAAAGTGCTGGGATTACAGGCATGAGCCACCACGCCCGGCCTTTTTTTTTTCTTTTGAGACAAGGTATTGCTCTGTTGCCCAAGCTGGAATGCAGTGACACAATCATGGCTCACTGCAGCCTCAACCCTCCAGGGCTCAAGCGATCCTCCTGCCTCAGACTCCCGAGTAGCTAGGACCACAGTGCACACCACCACGCCCAACTAATTTTTGTATGTTTCGTAGAGAAGGGGTTTTGCCACATTGGCCAGGCTGGTCTGGAACTCCTGACCTCAAGTGAACCACCTGCCTTGGCCTCCCAAATCACTGGGATTACAGGCACAAGCCACCACACCTGGCCAACCAGTCTACTCTCTCTGTTTAGGAATCCACTTCTTTAGCTCCCACGTATGAGTGAGAACATTCGAGATTTGTCTTTCTGTTCCTGGCTTATTTCACTGACCATAATGACCTCCAGTTCCAACTATGTTGCTGTAAATGTCAGGATTTCATTCTTTTTTATGGATGACCCCTCTTCCATTGTGTATACATACCACATTTTCTTTACCCTTTTATCCACTGATGGACACTTAGGTTGATTCCGTATGCTGACTTGTGAAGAGTGCTGCAATAAACACACGGGTGCAGGGACTCTTGTGATGTCCTGAGATTTTTTTCCTTTGCATGAATATTCAGTAGTGAACTCACTGGATTTTACGATAATTGCAGTTTCAGTATCTTGAGGAATCTCCGTGTTTTTTTTTTTTTTTCTTTTTTTGAGACAGAGTCTCACTGTCACCCAGGCTGGAGTGCAGTGGCGTGATCTCGGCTCACTGTAGGCTCTGCCCCTCGGGGTTCACACCATTCTCCTGCCTCAGCCTCCCGAGTAGCTGGGACTACAGGTGCCTGCCACCTCGCCTGGCTAATTTTTTGTATTTTTAGTAGAGACAGGGTTTCACCCTGTTGGCCAGGATGGTCTCGATCTCCTGACCTCGTGATCCGCCCGCCTTGGCCTCCCAAAGTGCTGGGATTACAGGTGTGAGCCACCGCGCCCGGCCGGAATCTCCATGTTTTCCATAATGGCTGTACTAATTTATATTCCCACCAACAGTGTCTAAGAGTTATTTTGTCAGCACATCCTCACCAGCATGTTTTTATTTTATTTTATTGATCTATTTATTTATTTGTTTGTTTGTTTAGATGGAGTCTCACTCTGTCGCCCAGGCTGGAGTGCAGTGGTGCCATCTCAGCTCACTGCAACCTCCAGCTCCTGGGTGCAAGCGATTCTCTTCCCTCAGCCTCCCGAGTAGCAGGAGCCTCCTGATTACAGGCGAGCGCCACCACGCCCGGCTAATTTTTGTCTTTTTAGTAGAGACGAGGTTTCAACATGTTGGCCAGGCTGGTCTCAAACTCCTGACCTCGTGATCCGCCTGCCTCGGCCTCCCAAAGTGCTGAGATTACAGGCGTGAACCACTGTGCCCAGCCCAGCATGTTTTTATATGTTTCTTTGATAATAGACATTTTAACTGAAATAAGATGATACTCATTGTAGTTTCGATTTGATGCCAGTGATGATTGTGGGTTTTTGTTTGTTTGTTTGTGTTTTGAGATGAAGTCTCGCTCTGTCACCCAGATTGGAGTGCAGTAGTGTGATCTTGGCTCACTGCAACCTCTGCCTACTGGGTTCAAGTGAGCCTCCTGCCTCAGCCTCCTCAGTAGATGGGACTACAGGTGTATGCCACCACGCCCAGCTGTTTTTTTTTCTTTTTTTGTATTTTTGGTAGAGATGAGGTTTCACCATGTTGCCCAGGCTGGTCTCAAACTCCTGGGTTCAAGTGATCCACCTGCTTTGGCCTCCCAAAGTGCTGGGATTACAGGTGTGAGCCACCGCGCTTGGCCGATGATTAGTGTTTTATATAGCTGTTGGCCATCTGTACATTTTCTTTTGAGAAGCAACTATTCAGATGCTTTGCATACTTGTTAATGGAATTATCTGGGGATTTTTTGTTGAGGTGTGTTTCTTCTAGGCCTAATTTGTTGATAGTTTTAATGATGAAGGGATGTTGAATTTTGTCAAATGTTTTTTTAACATCTATTGTGATGATCATATAATTTTTTTTTTTTTTTTTTAGACAGAGGGTCTCTCCTTCACCCAGGCAGGAGTGCAGTGGCGCGATCTTGGCTCACTGCAACTTCCACCTCCTGGGTTCAAGAGATTCTCCTGTCTCAGCCTCCCGAGTAGCTGGACTACCGGTGCACACCACCACACCCAGTTAATATTTTGCATTTTTGAGAGAGATGGGGTTTCATCATGTTGGCCAGGCTGATCTCGATCTCCTGACCTCAAGTGATCCACCCATCTCAATCTCCCAAAGTGCTGGGATTGCAGGCATGAACCACCGCGCCTGCCCATGATTATATGTTTTTTGTTCTTCCTTCTGTTGACATGAGATATCATATCTATTGATTTGAGAATGTTGAAATATCCTCCCTTCTGGCTGCTGTGTGGACTGCGAGCTCTCCTACCCTCCATGGTCTTCCAATCCCACTGTCCCCAGGCCAACTGCTCCCAGACTATGCAGTAGTCTCATGTGCATGGAGCAGTTGTAATTGATCCTGGTGGTGACAGAGGGGTTGGTGTTTCAGGCATGGCACAGTCAGAGGAGGTCCCAAGGAGAGACCAAGAGGTAAACTTAAGTAGAGCTGCACCCCTTCCTTGGCATCTGTAGAACCCTGGATAAAATCAAATACGCCAACCCAAATGCCCATCAATGATAGACTGGATAAAGAAAATGTGGCACATATACACCATGGAATACTATGCAGCCACAAAAAAGGATGAGTTCATGTCCTTTGCAGGGACACAGATGAAGCTGAAAACCATCATTCTCTGCAAACTAACACGAGAACAGAAAACCAAACATCACGTGTCCTCACTCATAGGTGGGAGTTGAGCAATGAGAACACATGGACACGAAGAGGGGAAAATCACACACCGGCACCTGTCACGGGCTGGGGGGCTGGGGGAGGGATAGCATTAGAAGAAATACCTAATATAGACAACAGGTTGATGGGTGCAGCAAAATACCATGGCACGTGTATACCTATGTAACAAACCTGCACGTTCTGCACATGTATCCCAGAACTTGAAGTATAATAATAAAAAAAAAGAAAACGAAACAATGAAACATGGGTTCTTATGAATCACAGAACACCCGTGACCCCAAGTTAAGATGGAAATTTATGATTCATTCCAACTAGGTCCTGTTTTCAGTATCTCACAAAAGCTTGACTCTAGAGTGAAATATACTTGGAAATGAATGAACGACTCTTGTGGTCTTTTTACTTCTTGTAAGGCTTTAGGATCCACCCGTTTGAATACCTATGACCAGGACCTCCTGCAATGCTTCTCTCTCCACCTCCAGGCATCCCTTCATTCAGATAATACCAATTCATCATCACCATCTGACCTCTCCTTCAGCTTCTTCACCACCCTCCATCTCAATTGCTTTCTGTTTTTCTTCTTTATTTTTTGAACTTCAACTTTTATTTTAGATACGAGGATACATGCTCAGGTTTGCTACATGGAACTATTGCACCCAGGTGGTGAGTGCAGGACCCAGTGGGTATTTCTTTTATCCTGTCCTATTGCGTTAAATCTTTCCTTCCCGGGACTGGTCCTATCTCTAAACTTTTTGCGTAGTGATTTTATCAACTTAATTTTTGCTAGGATGCTAGATTTTCTAGGAGGGGAGGTAATTTGAAATGAAGTCTGGGTTACTGTGAATCCAGTATATCTGCTTTGCTCGCCTTTATCTCTTGTGTCCTGGGATGGCCACAGGTTGACATGTTTAAATGTTTCTTAAGTGAGGATGGATAAGATTTACTGAGTGGTGAGTGCACGAATACAAAAGCAAAATGAGGCCGGGCGCGGTGGCTCACGCCTGTAATCCCAGCACTTTGGGAGGCCAAGGCGGGCAGATCACCTGAGGTCAGGAGTTCGAAACCAGCCTGGCCAACATGGTGAAACCCCATCTCTACTAAAAATACAAAAGTTAGCCGGGTGTGGTGGCAGCTGCCTGTAATCTCAGCTCTCAGCTACTCGGGAGGCTGAGTTAGGAGAATTGTTTGAACCCAGGAGGCTGAGGTTGCAGTAAGCCAAGATTGCACCACTGCACTCCAGCCTGGATGACAGAGTGTCACCCTGTCACAAAAAAAAAAAAAAAAAAAAAGAAGCAAAATACAAGAAGTCCAGGACTGGTAAAGGCAAGGCATGTTGAGCGGTTAGAAAAGGGGTGATGACATCGAAAAACCTCCTGGCATTTCCCAGTCCTTGCCTAGCACAGGTTACTCTGAAAGCAGGACTTAAGACAAGGATATGAGCGCAGGTAACTGATTTGGGAACCAAGTTTAAGGGAATAGGGTTCCCTTATGAAAGAGAGAAGGAGAGGAATTTCTGAAATCAGCATGCATTGCGGACACCACTACAGCAGGTAATATGGACAGGTCCACACCAGGATCTCTGATAATGTGCAGACCATCATCCAGAACTTCCCGCCAAAACAGGAGATACTCGCCAATATGTGTATGGCTTTCTAGCCCCCATTTCTGGGAGTTTCTTTTTCCCCAGCCACTGTCAGACGCATCAAGCTTTGGCTGAAATAGCTTCCAATAAGGTCCTTACACACAAATGTGGAGAGACACATGGAAATCCTCGAAATGAGATACTGTCCCGTGATTCTGAGAGTGACCCAAAAGGATACGGAATGAGGTACTAAAAGCAGGTGCTTGGAAACCTGAGGGCAGTGGTGTTCATGCGTTTCCCGGCACTTTGACTTTCAGCCTCCTGCAAGCCTCTCCTTCTTTGCCTTCCTGACCGTTAGATACGATTAATTTGGGGTTTGTTTTTTCTGCTTCCTCTTTCCCCTCCCACCCTATGTTTCAGTTCTAAAGTTAGAAGGTCCTCTCATCCTTTTAAGAAGAACAGAGACAGAAAATGGTTAGTCACCATCTAGGACAGACTACAATTCCAGATCATTGCAGGACGTGCCCACTCAAATGGATGATTATTGAGAGCTGGCCACCTGAAGTGTTTTACACAGGCAGTGATCTAAGGGTTGAAGCTATCTGGCCTTTTTGCTTGCTTGTTATGTATTTATGGCTTTTTTCCTTTTCAAAATAATTTTACTAAATATTTAATTCACCAACTATATATATTTATGGGGTACAATGTGTTATAAATGTATACACTGTGGAATGATGGAATCAAGACAGTTAACATGTCCATCACTCCGCATACTAACATCTGTGAAAACATTTAAAATCTATGCTTGGCTGGGCGTGGTGGCTCATGCCTGTAACCCCAGCAACTTTGAGAGGCTGAGATGGGCGGATCACCAGAGGTCAGGAGTTTGAGACCGGCCTGGCCAACATGGTGAAACCCCATCTCTATTAAAAATACAAAAATTAGCTGTGAGTGGTGGCGGGTGCCTGTAATCCCAGCTACACAGGAGGCTAAAGCAGGAGAGTCTCCTGAACCCAGGAGGCGGAGGTTGCAGTGAGCTGAGATCACACCACAGCACTCTAGCCTGGGCGACAGAGTGAGACTGCATCTCAGAAAAGAAAAAATATATATATATATTTTGGAGCTACATCGTGCTAGCGCTGCAGAGAATGAGTTTTGTTTTGCGACACAGTTTTTAGATGTCTACCGGGCTCTGGTGGAGATGGAATGTTTGGCCTCAAGTGGGCAGGTCCCATGGGACATGAGTAGCCGACCATGACCTGGCTGCGTACTGGCCCACCAGGCATTCGACTGGCGTGCCCAGCCGCTCTCCGTCATCGCAGAGAAGTGCTCTATGTGAGATTTGGTTAAAGGAGTCCCTGAAGGCCTGTGGGAGGCAGAATAGTGACCTCCCAGAGATGTCCACCTCCTGAGGCCCAGACCCTGTGAGTTGGGGAAGCTTATGTGGCAAAAGGGACTTTGCAGATGTGATTAAGTCAAGGATCTTGGGTTGGGGAGATTACCCAGGTGGGCCTGATGTAATCACAAGGGGCTGAGTAAGTGAAAGAGGAAGGCAGGAGGGTCAGAGTGAGAGAAGGAGGTGAGTGCATGGAAGCAGGCGGCAGATAACGGGACTGGTGGCTTTGAGGTTGGAGGGAATGGAGAGGCAGGAATGCGGGAGCCTGCAGAGGCTTGAACAGGCGAGGGAACAGATTCTCCTTGGAGCCTCCAGGAGGACACGGCTCTGATAGCAGCTTCATTTTAGCCCAGGGAGACCCATTTTGGACTTGTGACCTCCGGGACGGTAAGTCAATAAACCTACATTATGTGAAGCCACTAAGCTTGTGGTGATTTGTTATGGCAGCAAAAGGAAGCTTTATGGTTCATCTGTACCCTGAAAATGCAGGTTTTTGGTTTTTTTTTTTTTTTCACTTGTTCAATGATGTACCCCCAGTGTCAGGCGCTTTGCAAACACACGATACATACGGGTTGATGTTTGGTCAAGAGAGGAATTAAGACCAGGCAGACAGCAGGCTGGGATCAGAGAGACCCCATTTCTGTCTGAAATGTCTGCAGAGAACCTGGTGCCTGCCTCAGCCCTAGCTCTGGGGAAATGAAAGCCAGGCTGGGGTTCAAATGAGGGCAGTTTCCCTTCCTGTGGGCTGCTGATGGAACAACCCCATGACGAGAAGGACCCAGCCTCCAAGCGGCCACACCCTGTGTGTCTCTTTGTCCTGCCGGCACTGAGGACTCATCCATCTGCACAGCTGGGGCCCCTGGGAGGAGACGCCATGATCCCCACCTTCACGGCTCTGCTCTGCCTCGGTGAGATTTAAAGAGGGGGAGGGGAGACCCGAGTCTTGGAGGAAATTTGCCTCACAGCCAGGCCCTGGTTCTTTAGGAGACTCAAAAATCTCAGGGTAGCCGGGCGCGGTGGCTCACGCCTGTAATCCCAGCACTTTGGGAGGCCGAGGCGGGCGGATCACGAGGTCAGGAGATCGAGACCATCCTGGCTAACACGGTGAAACCCTGTCTCTACTAAAAATACAAAAAATTAGCCGGGGGTGGTTGCAGGCGCCTGTGGTCCCAGCCACTCGGGAGGCTGAGGCAGGAGAATGGCGTGAACCCGGGAGGCGGAGCTTGCAGTGAGCCAAGATCGCACCACCGCACTCCAGCCTGGGTGACAGCGAGACTCCGTCTCAAAAAAAAAAAAAAAAAAAAAAAAAAAAAAAAAATCTCAGGGTAAAGAGAGGACCTGCTCAGGCTTCCGGGGCAAATCCCTCACAGGGAACTCTCTTCCAGGGCTGAGTCTGGGCCCCAGGACCCACATGCAGGCAGGTGAGTCTGTCCCCAGCTGTCCCAGGTCCCTCCTCCTCACTGGGACAAGGGGCCACCCATGGGCAGCTGGGGGAGGAGACAGCAGTTCTGGGTGACTGATGAGGATGACGGGGGGGTCCTGGGGCTGAGAGCTGGGATCTGAGGGCTGAGGAAGGTCTTGGGATCCAGCCTCTGATTTTCTTCCAGGGCCCCTCCCCAAACCCACCCTCTGGGCTGAGCCAGGCTCTGTGATCAGCTGGGGGAACTCTGTGACCATCTGGTGTCAGGGGACCCTGGAGGCTCGGGAGTACCGTCTGGATAAAGAGGAAAGCCCAGCACCCTGGGACAGACAGAACCCACTGGAGCCCAAGAACAAGGCCAGATTCTCCATCCCATCCATGACAGAGGACTATGCAGGGAGATACCGCTGTTACTATCGCAGCCCTGTAGGCTGGTCACAGCCCAGTGACCCCCTGGAGCTGGTGATGACAGGTGAGAGGACACTCAGGGGTCCCAGCCCCAGGCTCTGCCCTCAGGAAGGGGGTCAGCTCTCAGGGGCATCTCCCTCTCACAGCCCAGCCCTGGGGATGATGTGGGAGGTGGGAGCCCCATTTAACACGGTGCCTCCTTCTCTCCTAGGAGCCTACAGTAAACCCACCCTTTCAGCCCTGCCGAGTCCTCTTGTGACCTCAGGAAAGAGCGTGACCCTGCTGTGTCAGTCACGGAGCCCAATGGACACTTTCCTTCTGATCAAGGAGCGGGCAGCCCATCCCCTACTGCATCTGAGATCAGAGCACGGAGCTCAGCAGCACCAGGCTGAATTCCCCATGAGTCCTGTGACCTCAGTGCACGGGGGGACCTACAGGTGCTTCAGCTCACACGGCTTCTCCCACTACCTGCTGTCACACCCCAGTGACCCCCTGGAGCTCATAGTCTCAGGTGAGGCTCCTGACCCTGTCCTCTCTGAGCTCAGTGGCTCCGTTCATGCCCTGCTGCCAGGAGAGCTCTGGGCAGGGATGGAGGGAGAGGGGCTCAGCCAGTGGGGGACTCAGCCCTCAGAGGGGAGGAGGACAACAGGGGCCCTCCCAGGCATGCCCATGCTCTTCTCCCTCACCTAGGGTCCAGAAGGTGCCAGGTGGACAGAGAAATGGTCCTTGGGAAGCTGCAGGGCAGATATAGGGAGAGGTTCAATTTGATGTGGAGACCCAAGGGCAACCCCAGACTCTCACCCTCCTCTTGTCCTTCTACCCAGGATCCTTGGAGGGTCCCAGGCCCTCACCCACAAGGTCCGTCTCAACAGCTGGTGAGTCTCAGAGGCCTCTGTCCAGAGAGTTTCCAAAGCCCGAGGCCTGTCTCAAGACATGCTCAGTGGATCTAAGTCCTCGTTCCAATTCTCAGCTGGGCTTGCTTCCACGGGTGTGGGAGTCGGGCAGCGACTTGGGAGGCACCACAGGCTCCCAAGGCCCTGAGGCTGGGCTGGTGAGGGGTGAGGGGGTCAAGGCTGAAGGAGATGTTGCGGGGAGAAGCCGAGCTGATGCGGGGAGCAGGGCAGCCCCAGCCCTCACATCCCTGTTCTAACCCAGCAGGCCCTGAGGACCAGCCCCTCATGCCTACAGGGTCAGTCCCCCACAGTGGTGAGTGAGGGGCTCTGAGTGGGAGGTGGGCAGGGTCTAGGGGAGCCAAGGGTGGGTTCTGTCCTAGGTTAAGGCTCCTCTGGAGGTGGTGATGTGGACAGGCCCCTCCCCTGCATGGGCCTCAGTTTCTCCAAGTGTAAAGGAGAGAGGCCTGCGGGTGGGAAAGTTCCTTTCAGCTCTGACTCCCAGCTGTGCCCTCCTGGGAGAGGAGGCCTCCCAGGGAACCTCCCAGACCCGATTCCGCAGGGGCCTGTCCGGTCCCACCTGCAGCAGAGACGGTGACCTGGGGCAGGGGAGGGGAGCAGGGCGGTGGTTCAAGACAGTCAGGCTCTTTCCCTGCAACTCTGGGGCTTGGCTCTGGTGCAGGAACAAGGGCTGCAGCTCAGACTCCCGGGTTTCCTTCCCAGCTCTGCCGCTTCCTGGCTGGAGGGGTCTGGGGCAGGCGATTCCCCTCTCTGAGCCTCAGTTTGTGCATCTGTGAAATGGGTGGAGAGAGGGTGGCAATCTCAGGTTGCACAACTGCTGTGAGGGTTGGAGGTAATGAAAGAAAGACCCAGCACACACAGTAGGTGCACACACAGTAGGTGTGCACATCAATGACATCATCCCCATTCCTGATGTCATCACGCCCAAGGTCTGAGAAGGCACTGGGAGGTACTGATCGGGGTCTTGGTGGTCTCCATCCTGCTTCTCTCCCTCCTCCTCTTCCTCCTCCTCCAACACTGGCGTCAGGGAAAACACAGGACATTGGGTAAGTAGGAAATTGGGGGACCCGTGGGCTGATGGAGGGTGGGCTCAGGGCACCAGCCAAAGGGACTCCAGATAGGAGAGGTCATCTTAGAAACTCTGCTCCAGAAATTCCCAGTGAGAAAATCTAGAAAGAAGAAAATGAATGAGGGAGTAATGGAAGTGCTTTATTCTTTCGGTTTTTCTAAACTTAGAAAGTATTTAAAACATCCTTGCAAGTGTATTTTCAGGTTTCCTTTCCTCTTGACTTGCATGTGCAAGGCAGGTGGTTCTAACGTTCCCAGAGCTGAGACTCTGTCCATCTTCCCCCAGCCCAGAGACAGGCTGATTTCCAACGTCCTCCAGGGGCTGCCGAGCCAGAGCCCAAGGACGGGGGCCTACAGAGGAGGTAATTCTGCCCAAAGACCTCAGACTCCCACCCATCCCAACAGCCACCTCACTGTCCCCTTACACTCCCGTATCCTCCCCCAGGTCCAGCCCAGCTGCTGACGTCCAGGGAGAAAACTTCTGTGAGTGAGAGGCAGAGAAGGTGCACCTGGGGTGGAGCTGGGGGTCCCAAAATTTCAATAGCAATGGGGGCAGGAGCACAGGCTAGGATTGGTCAGGGACTCAGGGAGAAGTGGTCTGAACCCACATTGTGGGACCTCGGGGACATCACAGCCCCTCCCTGCGTTGCAGTGGCACTAATGGGAACAGGGCAGGGACCAGCAGGAATGAGAGGTCCCAGGGAACCTTCCCAGGAGATGAACCCCTTGCTCTACCCCAGCAGGTGCTGCCGTGAAGGACACACAGCCTGAGGACGGGGTGGAAATGGACACTCGGGTGAGAACCCGCCCCTGTCCCCGGCACCAAAGGCCTCCTGGTGCCAGATCTAATCCTGCAGGACTTCTCTGTCCTCCTTCCCCCGGCTCTCAGCATCGTCACGGTGGACCCCTCCTTGTCCAGCACGCTGCCTCCTGCCTGCTGGGACCTCACTCTCTCCTGCTGTCCTGGGACCTCATGGGCCTCCTCCCGGGTCCCCTTCCTGCTCCTCATCCTCTGTTTGGCCATCTGGTTGTTAGAGAGCTCCCCAGGCCTCAGGAGGATGACGAATAAATGAACCACTCCAGTCCCCTGGGCTCCCCTTCATTCATTCATCTAGTGAGTGTTCCCAGGGAGCTCACTGTGGATGGGGCTCCCCATGGGAGCTGCAGACACAGCAGGGAGCAAAGCCGCCCCCGCCTCCTGAGCTCACCTCGTGGTGGGAGACAAAATGCAAATAAATGCATCGTGTCCAGGAGTGCAACGTGCTGTAAGGAACATAAACCAGGTAAAGGGCAGAGAGTGTGGGGCAGTGGGGCCAGTCTGAATGGAAAGGGAGGGCTGTCTGCTCAGCTGTCATCTGAGAAGCCTGGACGGAGAGGGCCACGTGATCCTCTAATGGACGAGCCCCTGCAGGCAGAGGAAACAGCCGTGCAAAGGCCCCGAGGCAGCAGCGAGCTCTTGCAGGAAGGCCGCGTGAGGCTGCAGCCAAATGGGCAAGGTCAGAGTGAGGAGCAGAGGCCAGAACCACAGGGAGGGAGCGGCCAGACCCTCCACGGCCTTAGGGCGTCCCTGAGATTCCGTCAGGAAAGGGATGTAATCGGATCACCCTGGGAACAGTGGGGAAAATTGACTCCAGGGAGTCAGGAGGATTCAAGGACACCCCCCACCACTGTCTCTCTCCAGCAGAGCCCACACGATGAAGACCCCCAGGCAGTGACGTATGCCAAGGTGAAACACTCCAGACCTAGGAGAGAAATGGCCTCTCCTCCCTCCCCACTGTCTGGGGAATTCCTGGACACAAAGGACAGACAGGCAGAAGAGGACAGACAGATGGACACTGAGGTGAGTCCTTTCCTCTCCAGGCCCCCAGGCCTCCCCCACCCCCACCACGTTCCTTCCCTCTCACTCTCCCCCGCTGCAGGCTGCTGCATCTGAAGCCCCCCAGGATGTGACCTACGCCCAGCTGCACAGCTTTACCCTCAGACAGAAGGCAACTGAGCCTCCTCCATCCCAGGAAGGGGCCTCTCCAGCTGAGCCCAGTGTCTATGCCACTCTGGCCATCCACTAATCCAGGGGGGACCCAGACCCCACAAGCCATGGAGACTCAGGACCCCAGAAGGCATGGAAGCTGCCTCCAGTAGACATCACTGAACCCCAGCCAGCCCAGACCCCTGACACAGACCACTAGAAGATTCCGGGAACGTTGGGAGTCACCTGATTCTGCAAAGATAAATAATATCCCTGCATTATCAAAATAAAGTAGCAGACCTCTCAATTCACAATGAGTTAACTGATAAAACAAAACAGAAGTCAGACAATGTTTTAAATTGAATGATCATGTAAATATTACACATCAAACCAATGACATGGGAAAATGGGAGCTTCTAATGAGGACAAACAAAAAATAGAGAAAAATTAATAAAGTCAAAATGTTTATTCTTGAAAACATTAATGATACATGAATCTTGGCCACAATGAGAAAAATAAAAATGAAAAAAGAGCAGGCATCCATTTCCATACAGGAACAAAATAGGAGGCAGCACTACAGACCCTACACACAGCTTTACAGAGGTGAAAGAAAACTGTCAGCAATTCTATGCTGACATAACAGAAAATGTAGATGAGATAGATGAAATACGAAAAATTACAGTTTACTTAATGAACATAAGGATAAATAGAAAAACTGAATCATCATACATAAACATATATAAAATGCATTGATCCTGTAATCAAAAATGTTCCCACAAAGTAAATGCCACTTCAGCAAGGTTTGTTGGTGGTTTTTTCAAACTCTTATGCACTCATGAAACACACAGACACACACACACACAAACTTGCATAAATTTTCCCTGAGAATATTTTGTATATATTTACACAAATACATTTGATCAGACTAGGAACAAGTTGATACCAAAACCTGAAAAGGAAACTACAGAATGGGAAAGTCATAGAAGATCTCTCACAGAAATATAAATCCCTTAACAAATATTAACAAGTAAGATTCATGTCTCTATAAAATAGACAGTATATCATGACCACACTGGTTTTTTGTTATCCTTTGATTTTGTTTATGAAAAGCAAGGATAGCTTAATTTTCAAAAACTCAATCAATGTAATTCAGTATTTTAACAAAAGGAATGAAAAATTATCATCTCAATAGACAAAGCTTTTGTCTGAGCACCTTTTCATATAGCTGCTGACCATTTGTATGTCTTCTTTTGAGAAATGCCTGTTCAGCTACTTTGCCCATGTTTCAAGTAGTTTTTGGTTTCTTGCTGTTGCTTTGTTTTAGTTCCTTACATATTTTTGCATATTAACCCTTTATCAGGTATACAGCTTGCAACTATTTTCTCCCATTTCTGAGTTGTCTCTTCATTCTGTTTGCAGAAGCTGTTTAGAAGCCACACCTTTTGTCTATTTTTGCTTTTGTTGCTTGTGTTTTCAGGGCCATATCCAAAAAAACCTTGCCCGGACCAACGTCTTGAAGCTTTTCTCCCACCCATTTTTGTATATGGGATAAGGGTTCAATTTCATTCTTCTTCATATGAATATCCCCAGGATGTGTCCTATGCCCAGCTGCACAGCTTACCCTCAAACAGAAAATAATGAAGCCTTCTTCCTCCCAGGAAAGGGGACGTTCAGCTGAGCCGAGTGTGTATACTGCTCTGGCCATCCACTAGCCCAGGGAGGACCCAGACCTCCACACTCCATGGAGACTCAGTTCTCCTAGGACCATTTATTCAAAAGGACTGCCCTCTCTTGTTCTTGGAAACTTTGTTGAGGATCAATTCACCATAAATATGTGTGTTTCCTTCTTTGCTTTCATCCCTGTTGCACTGATCACTGTACCTGTTTCTATTCCAGTTCCATGATGTCTTCCTGGCTGTAGCTTTGTAGGATATTTGGGGATTCCATAGTGTGATATCCCCTTCTTCCCTTTGCTCAAGATTGTTTTGGCTATTTGGGGTCCTTTTGTAGTCCCATTCAAATTTTAGGATTGTTTTTCTATTTCTGTGGAAAACGACCTTGGAATTTTGTTAGGAATTGCATTGAGTCTGCAGGTATGAACTTTTTTTTAAAGTTCCAGGGCACATGTACAGGACCTGCAGCTTTGTTACATAGGTAGGCTTGTGCCATGGTGGTTTGCTGCACCTATCAACCCATTACCTAGTTATTAAGCCCAGCATGCATTAGCTCTTTTTCCTGATGCTCTCCCTCCCTTCATCATCCGCCCTCCCACTACAAGCCCCAGTGTGTGTTGTTCCCCTCCCTGTGTCCATGTGTTCTCATTGTTATACGAACATTTTAACAATGTTAATTCTTGCAGACCATGAACATAAGCTACCTTCCCATTTATATGCGTCTTGTTCAATTTCATTCATCAATGTTATAAAGATTTTAGTGCAGAGATATTAAACCTCCTTGGTTAAATTTAATTCTAAGTAATTTTTTAGCTATTATAAGTGTAATTTTTCTTTCGATTTCTTTCTGGATAGTTTGTTTTTAGTATATAGAGATGCTACCAATTTCTGCATGTTGATTTTGTATCCTGCAACTCTACTAAATTCGTGGATCAGTTCTAAAAGTTGTTTGGTTGAGTCTTTAGAGATTTTTATATATAAAATCATGTCAGCAAACAGAGACAATATCACTTTTTATCTGATTTGGGTGCTTTTGTGTATTTTTATTGCCTAATTGCTGTGTCTAGGACTTCTATTACTATGCTGAATAGAAGAAGTGAGAGCATATACTTTTGAGCAAGGATTCTTCCATCCTCCTCCTACAGAAAGGGCAGGTTCTAATTGCACTCTGGCTGAACTATTAGCACTTCTCATGCACTTGTGTGCTCAGCCCTCAGTCAGCCTCATTGGAAAGGGTCCAACTGAGGAAGGCACCAGATGTATTTGCTGCTAAGTCCTGGCCACAGACAGTGGATGACAGATGATTATTTAAATAAAGATTAGCTTTCCTTTCAAAGTTGGAGTGCTAACCCACCCAATGTCCCTAAGGCTTCAGGGCAGGACCATGGAAAGAGGAGGAGGAAGGTTCTGAGAACTAGACAAGGGGCACTGAGGAGGCAGAAATGAATCAAGTGC
The DNA here is from genome assembly GCF_000001405.40 of Homo sapiens. Classification (NCBI taxonomy): domain Eukaryota; kingdom Metazoa; phylum Chordata; class Mammalia; order Primates; family Hominidae; genus Homo; species Homo sapiens. The sequence goes on from NW_003571061.2 coordinate 397,552, forward strand.
TGTATCCAGGGAGATGTGGAGGAGACTGTTAGAAAATAGTAACAAAAAAAGGGAAGCCCAAGCAGAGAATTGTTTGGTAGAAAGAATACCCACGACCCAGGGTCAGTGGAGGAGTTATGTTTTCTTCCCCTATTTCCCTGCATTTCTGCACTATGCACAGTGATATCGCTGTCACTTTCTCAGCCCTGCAGGCTTGTCAGAACCCAGTGACCGCCTGGAACTGGTGGTGACAGATGAGAGGACACTCAGGGATCCCAGCCCCAGGCACTGCATTCAGGAAGGGGTTCAGCTCTCAGGGGGTGTCTCCCTTCTCACAGCCCAGCCCTGGGGTATGATGTGGAAGGTGTGAGCCCCATTTAACATGGTGCTTCCTTCTGTCCTAGGATTCTACAGCAAATCCACCCTCTCAGCTCAGCCCAGCCCTGTCCTGACCTCAGGAGGTAAGGTGACACCATTATGTCCTTCACGGCTGGGATTTGACAGGTTCATTCTGACCGTGGAAGGTGAACACAAGCTATTCTGTCTCCTGGACCCCGAAAAACAGTCCGATGGACAGTTCCAAGCCCTGATCCTGGCAGACCCCATGACTTCTAGCCACAGGTGGAGGTTTACCAGTCTGGTTTAGCAGACTTTAGCACCTGAGACCAAGAGCTCCAGCAGCTCACTAGATTCTGACCATACCTGGAGGCAACCTGGTGAAAGAAGAGGCTTGGAAGGAACCAGCCCTCTGAGTCCCAGCTCCTCGCACACTCCAGGTGTGCCTAGGGAGCCCTCCCATTTGACTCCACAGGGTCCTGTCATGGCCCATGGAGAGAGGTTGACCCTCCTGTGTTGCTCTGATGTTGGCTGCAAAATATTCTCTCTGTCCAAGAAAAAGATACATCACCTTCCCCAGAGTTCTGGCCAGAAGTTCTCCCAAGATGACTTCCCCTTAGGCCCTGTGAGCATCTCCCATGGGGGCCAGTACAGATGTTCAGTGGACACAACCTCTCCTCTAGGTGGTCAGCCCCCAGTGACCCCCCTGGACATCCTGATCGCAGGTGAGAAGCCCAGCGGGTTCAGTTAGGGACCCAGGCTCTGTACAGGCCCTGCCAGGGGAGCCTAGGTGGTGATGGTTGGGATGAGGGGTGGGGGTCTCAAGGGAGGGAGAGGCAGAGAGAGAGAGAGGATGGATTGGGCGGGGACGGGGAAACTCAGAGAAAACAGAGACAGAGATACTGAGGGTCCCAGAGAGAGGCCTGGGGAAGTCTCAGCTCAGAACAAGGTGGGGCGGCTCCTCACCCATCCTTCTTCTCTCCAGGACAGATCCGTGAGACAGCCTCCCTCTTGGTGCAACCAGGCCCCACTGTGGTCTCAGGAGAGAACATGGCTCTGCTGTGTCAGATGCAAAGCTGGGTGGACAGACACTTTCCTTCTATCTGAGGAGGATGCAGCTGACAAGACCCCACCCTCGTATCTAATATCAAAGTACCCTACTCTGTGGTAGAGGTTGAATTCTCCATGAGTCCTGCGACCTCAGCCCATGCGGGGACCTACAGGTGCTATGCCTCATAGAGTGTTTACCCCAAGCTGTTGTTCCCCCAGTGACCTCCTGGTAATACAGGAGTTACTAAGAAATTGTTTTAGGCAGATAGTAAGGGTAAAGGTTCTTGGTGGAAATTTTCCAGTAATAAGGAACAATCCCTGAACCATCTCTTTTCTAACAGAAATGACAGCTTAAATGGCCCGGCCAGCAAGCTTTAATGTGCAAATGCCAACCATTAAAAACTGGGTTCACTCAATATGGTGATTCCTACTGTCTTCTCTTTGTTACCACCTGTGCCAAGTGTGATGGCCACCTCCAGACAACACCATGTATTCAAAACATCATGGTGACCCAAATGAATGAAAAAGCCCTTTTTAATATGCATTTTTAAAGGCCTACAGAAAACCAGGGCCAAACCTCTCAATTACTCTAAACTGTCTATAATGGAACAAAAGCCAAATAAAAATCTTGTAGCCTTTATAAAAAGGCTAAAAGAGGCACTAAAAAAGTATATCTTTTTATTCTCTAATCCAGTTAAGTAACAGCTCATCCTGAGGGACAAATTTATTACACAGGCAGCTCCCAATATTAAAAAAAAAAAAAAAAACTACAAAAGAAAGCTACAGGACCAAATAGCACCTTAAAAAACCTCCTGAAGGTGGCCACTTTGGTCTTTTATAATATGGACCAGGAGGAGTCCCAAAAGAAAGAAAAAAAGCTCAGGAGAAGGACAAAGTCTCTAGCAGCAGCTTTGAAGGCTCGCAAAGTCCCAGATCACCAAGATGCATCCTCTAGTTGCTATTAGTGTAGCAGGCCAGAATGTCCAGTCAGCAAAATGAAGCAACCTCCACTCTGTCCAGCCTGTGGCAAAAACCACTGAAAACAGAACTGCCCCCAGACATGGAGGTCACTGAGTTCAAAACCAGTCTCACAGATGGTCCAGCAAAACTGATGGATCCTGGTGCTTGAACCTAGGCTCCAGTAGCTCAAACTGCCATTATAGCACAAGAGCCCTGGATAATTCTGGAAATTAAAGGAAGGAAAGTAGACCTCCTTCTAAACACTAAAGCTAGTCTCTCTCTCTTTTCTATTCTCTAATCCAGGCCTCCCTTCTTCCTTCATCACAACCGTAAGGGGCATCTTAGGAAAAAGTCTAATCCAATATTTTCTCAATCTTAGTTAAAACATGCTTTCGGTCAGGCACGGTGGCTCACGCCTGTAGTCCCAGCACTTTGGGAGACTGACGTGGGTGGATCACCTGAGGTTGGGAGTTCAAGACCAGTCTGGCCAACATGGAGAAACCTCATCTCTACTAAAAATACAAAAAATTAGCCAGGTGTGGTGGCACATGCCTGTAATCCAAGCTACTTGGGAGGCTGAGGCAGGAGAATTGCATGAACCCAAGAGGCAGAGGTTGCAGTGAGCCGAGATCGCTCTATTGCACTCCAGCCTGGGCAACAAGAGTGAAACTCCATCTAAAACAAACAAACAAACAAACAAAAAATCAAAAAAACATGCTTTCAAGCCATTGAAGCCATTGTCATGATAGCTCTACTAGTCAGAAAAGCCTGCAAGTTAACCCTAGAAAATAAAAATAATTTAACTGTTTACAGCCCACATAATGTAGCAGAATCACTGTCCTCTAGGGGGAGCTCTTAGCTGGTAAACAGCCCGTAAAGCAAAAAGTAAATAAGGCAGAATAAGCAGTAGTCACTCTCTCCAGGCACAAACACTCAATTAGCTGAGTTAATAGCTCTTTAAAAAGCACTTAAATTAAGCAAGGAAAAGGCAGCTAACATTTACACTAACTCCAAGTATGCTTTCTTGGTTCTCCATGCTCATGCTGCCATTTAAAACAAAAAAACATGTTCTTACTGCTAATAAATCTCCTATAAAAAATCACCAAAAAATTAGCAAGTTATTCTTATTTTTTCTTCCACAAAAAGTAGCAGGGATGCATTGTAAGAAACATCAAAGAATAAACAATAAGGTAGCCAAAGGAAATAAGTTAGCCAATCGGGCAGCTAAGTCAAAGGCATAAAAGCTTCAAGGCCTTAATGCACTTCAAGCCCCTTCTAATCTAAAAAGGCTCCATAAGAGAAATCACACCTCAGTATTCCCCTGAAAAAATAGAATAAGCCACTTCTCAAGGGCATACTTTTCAGCCCTCAGGATGGCTACAGTCAGGATGGCAAATTTATTGGTCAGCCTCCAGCCAACAGAAAGTTCTTGAAGTCCTAAGCTTTTCACTCAGGAAAAAATAAAACTTATCAATGGGCTCAAACATTGTTTTCAGACGGGAAACCTCTAGAATGGTTAACCACGTAACCTCTCTAGCTCACTTCCAACAAAAATTGACACAATAGCAGAAGCCCAGCCCTAGGAAATAAAACCACCTTTATTTAACTCAGGAAATTTAGTATTAGTAAGAACTCTCATCTCTGTCTCCTTCCCTAAGCCAAGCTAAAAAGGGCCCTACACTGTTCGTCTTTCAACCTCCTCGGCAGTAAAAGTTACAGGAATCAACTTCTACATGCATCACACTCAAGTCAAAGCCAAAAAGCTAAAAAACCAACCCCTAACAGTAAAAAAAAAAAAAAAAAAAAAAAAAAAAAAAAAAAAAGCTAAATATTAATGTAAAAAAATAGAAGATCTTAAGCTAAAAATCATAGAAGATAAGTAACTAAGTAAGGGCTACACATCTTACTCAGTCCCACTCCTACCCACCAAATATGTTTTATTATTTCTAACCTTTTCTCACAAAGTTCACGGCCAAATATTAAAACTTCTTTTTAACACTTATTTGCAGCAAAATTTAAATATTCATAAAATCACATTTGTAACTTTCTGAATCCCCAAAGGAAAATGTTATATCTTGGCAAGTTTTTTTTTTTTTTTTTTTTTTTTTTTTTTTTTTTGAGACAGAGTCTCGCTCTGTTGCCCAGCCTGGAGTGCAGTGGTGCAATCTCAGCTCACTGCAAGCTCCGCCTCCCGAGTTCACACCATTCTCCTGCCTCAGCCTCCCGAGTAGCTGGGACTACAGGCGCCCGCCACCACGCCTGGCTCATTTTGTGTATTTTTAGAGAGACGGGGTTTCACCATGTTAGCCAGGATGGTCTCGATCTCCTGACCTCGTGATCCACCCGCCTGGGCCTCCCAAAGTGCTGGGATTACAGGTGTGAGCCACCACACCCGGCCAGCAAGTAAAGTTTTAAACAAAAATTACTGGCCAGAAAAAAAAAAAAGCCATTCTTGTGAAAATTGTTGTAGTCACACTGCTATTTGCAATGAAACTATACTCTGTGGCACCCACAATGTAGAATTCTGGTTGTAAAATTGTAATTGTGGTAATATTTTGCCTGATTATCATCCTTATAACAAAATTAATAATTGCAGAAAAAATTTAATCAAGGTTGTTTTGCTTATAGCAGAAGTAATAGTAACGAATAAAAAGCAAGCATTAAAGTTTTACTAGCATTAAGTGTAATAAAACTTTTTACCAAAGGTTGGTGATATAATGCACTGTAAGCTATAAAAAGGTTATAAAAACATTTACATAAAAAAGGATTTTGTATGGTGAATACTTGTCCTAAAAGAAAATAACTGGTTGTTTAAAGGAAGAATGTTTAGGACAAGTCTAAAAGTTTAAGTGTGTTGTAAGAGAGTCTGTGAAAGTCATAAAAAATTTAATAATTAAAAAAAGTCAAAATTAACGCTAAAGTTATTTTAGCCACCCAATAATGTATTTCTCCCAATCATACTGCAAGTAGTAAAAATGGCCTAAGCCTAAAGTTATTCTCTACTGGCACGTTAAGGAGGAAACATATGCTTTTCTCTAGGAAAAAGTTACTTTTACAGTAACGTTCCTGGTAATGTACACCGACATCTAGTGGAGGAAAACCTGTATTGCAATCCATTGATACAACAACAGGTGTCAAACTCCACTGTCACTTAGGGTCTGTAGGACTGCCACTAACGATGGTATTTTTTTTTTTTTTTTGAAACAGAGTCTTGCTCTGTTGCCCAGGCTGGAATGCAGTGGCACAACCTCAGCTCACTGCAACCTCCGCCTCCCGGGTTCAAGTGATTCTCCTGCCTCAACCTCCCAAGTTGCTGGGATTACAGGAACTCACCATCATGCCCGGCTAATTTTTGTATTTTTAGTAGAGATGAGGTTTCACCATGCTGGCCAGGCTGGTCTTGAATTCCTGTCCTCAGGTGATCTGCCCGCGTTGGCCTCCCAAAGTGCTGGGATTACAGACATGAACCACCACACCCAGCCCCAATGGTGGTAATCTTAATACTCATATTCTAACCCTATATTTTAAACCTTCTTGTAAAATTTCTCTCTTTTTGCCTAAAAGTAATTAAACTCCAAATGGTGCTGCAAGCAAAGCCACACATGGACACGCCATTCTTTTGAGAAACCTTAAATCAACCTCAGAAAAAGGCCCAACTGCTGTTCCCCCACACAACACCCCTTTTCAGCAGGAAGTAGCCAGAAAGAAACATGATCCAACACGCACTAACAGCAGTTAGCTTTGCCTCTCTTTAAGGGGAGGAATAATACAGGAGTTATTAAGGAATTATTTTAGGCACATAGTAAGGGTAAAGGTTCTTGGTGGAAATTTTCCTGTAATAAGAAACAACCCCTGAACCATCTCTTTTCTAACAGAGAAGCTGTCTTAAAGAGCCTGGCCGGCAAGCTTTAAAATTCAAATGCTGGCCATTAAAACATGGGTTCATGCAATATGGTGATTTCTGCCATCTTCTTATCACCACCTGTGCCAAGCGTGATGGCCACCTCCAAATAACACAAAGCATCATGGTGGCCCACATTTGCATATTAAAAGGCTAAGGTGGGAGGAACAAGTTTTTCGAGGGCTATGTAAATGACACACCTGGCCTAACCAATCCCCTGGGCCCTATGCAAACCAGACACTTGCCTCCTCCAGCCTCCCAATATAAGCAACCACTTTTCCACCACACACGGGGTTCTTCTTTGTTCCAAGCTCCCCTCCCTTGGCTCTGTACAGAGGAGCTCTTTTCTTCTTTCTTTCTTCTTTCTTGCCTATTAAACTTTTTGCTCCTTAAAACCACTCCACGTGTGTCCTTATTGTTTTATCTAAACTGGCATGAGACCAAAAACCCTAGTCACCAAAGCCATATCACTGGAGCTCATGGTCTCAGGTAAGAAACCTCCAACCCGTGTCCATTGAAGCTGGCATTAGTCGTGTGAATGTAGAACTTCATGTTAGTAACACAGCTTTTAAAATGTTTCCCTAAATTGAGGCGGAGCTTGCAGTGAGCCAAGATTGTGCCATTGCACTCCAGCCTGGGCGACAAAGAGAGACTCCGTCTCAAAAAAAAAAAAAAAAAGTTTCCCTAAATTGTATATTTTTACTGTATACAACATGTGGTATTGCAACATTCCTATTTGTGGGTTGGCTAAATCGATCTAATAAACATACACATCAGTTCACATACTTACTACTGTTTGTGGTGAGAACTCTTAAATCTACTCTCACAGTGATTTTCAAGAATAGAATATATCGTTATTAACTATAGTCACCATGTTGTAGCATAGATCTGGAAGTTATTCTGTCAAACTGGAATTTTGGACCCCTCTATCAACATCCTCCCAAGATATAGGAATAAATGTGAGCACATCAAAAGACACCCAAACCATTACTTATTATAAAAATTCATAGGAATCCACAGTGAGACACTACTTCAAACACTGGATTGGCCATATTCTGAAAAATAACAAATGTCAGGAAGGGTGTGCGGAAAGAGAACCTTCACGCACTGCTGGCATGATTGTGAAATTTTTCGGTGACTGTGAAAAGTGGTTTGGAGGCCGGGCGTGGTGGTTCACGTTTGTAATCCCAGCACTTTGGGAGGCCGAGGCAGGAGGATCACCTCAGGTCAGGAGTTTGAGACCGGCCTGGCCAAAATGGCAAAACCCCTTCTCTACTGAAAGTGCAAAAATTATCTGGGCACGGTGCAGGTGCCTGTAATCCCAGCTACTCAGGAGGCTGAGGCAGAATAGCTTGAACCCAGGAGCAGAGGTTGCAGTGAGCCGAGATCGTGCCGCTGCACTCCAGCCTGGGTGACAGAGCCAGACTCCATCAAAAAGAAAGAAAGAAAGAGAGAGAGAGAGAGAGAGAGAGAGAGAGAGAGGGAGGGAGGGAGGGAGGGACGGAGGGGGAGAGAGAGAGAGGAAAGAAAAGAAAGAAAGAAAGAAAAAGAGAGAAAGAAGAAAAAGAAAAAAGCGGTTTGACAGTTCCTTAAAAGATGAACCTAGGAAGGCTTATATGCTGTTGGTGGTAAATTAGCTCAACTTCTATGGAAAACAGCATAGAGGTTTCTCAAAGAACTAAATACAGAACTGCCGTTTGACCCAGCAATCCCACTACTGTAAAAGAAATAATTATATTAAAAAAGACACACGCACTCGTATGTTCACCGTGGTGCTATTCACAATAGCAAAGTCATGGAACCATCCTAGATGTCCATCCATCGTGGCATGGATAAAGTAAAAGTGGTAAATATATAGCCCAGAATACAGCATAGCCATAAAAAATAGTGAAATCATGTCCTTTGCAGGAACATGGATGGAGCTGGAGGCCATGATCCTACGTGAACTAACTCAGAATCAGAATACCAAACACTGCATGATCTCACTTACAAGTGGGAGCTACACAATAGGCACTCATGGACATAAAGATGGAGATAAACACAGGGAAACCCAAAAGGGGGGAAGGGTGGGAGGAGGGCAAGAGGTTAAAAAAATATATTAGGGCTGGGTGCGGTGGCTCACGCCTGTAATCCCAGCACTTTGGGAGGCAGAGATGGGGGGGATCACCTGAGGTCAGGAGTTCGAGACCTGCCTGGTCAATGTGCAGAAACCCCATCTCTACTAAAAATACAAAATTAGCTGGGCATGGTGGTGCATGCCTGTAATTCCAGCTACTCGGGAGGCTGAGGCAGGAGAATTGCTTAAACCTGGAAGGTGGAGGTTGCGGTGAGCCGAGATCGCACCACTGCACTCCAGCCTGAGCAACAAGAGTGAAACTCCATCTCAAAAAAAAAAAAATCTATCTATCTATTTATATATATATATACACACACACACATACATACACCAAACAAGCACATGTACCTTTTGAATATAAAATAAAATAAAATAATAATATAAAATAAAATAAAAAATAAACCTAGAATTACTCTATGATCTAGAAATTTCACTTCTAGGTATGTGACTAAAGGTTTAGGTTATACAAGACGAATGAAGTTTGCAATGTACCCTACAACATTTTGTCTTTAGTTAACAATACTGCATCATGAAGTTAAAAATTGGTAGGAGAATTAACTCTTCCTACCACAATAAAAAAAAAGACTGATAGTAGATATTGTGAAAGGAAATTAAATTTTGGGACCCCACACTCATTTAGCTAAGGGGGAAAGTCAAGCTGGGGACTGGGTCACACAAACCTGCCTCTCCATTTTGGTTCGTGAATAAGATGGCTACAAGGTGAAAAGCTACATGCCTCCCCCACGTTTTGCCCACAAGAAGATTCCTAGTGAGCTGTTAAAATTTCACCATGGCAATGTAAATTGATAGCTTATCTTTCCAATGTATATTGATAGCTTATCTTTCCAGTGTATACTGATAGCTTATCTTTCCAGTGTATATTGATATCTTATCTTTCCAGTGTATGATAGCTTATCTTTCCAATGTATACTGATAGCTTATCTTTCCAGTGTATACTGATAGCTTATCTTTCCAGTGCATACTGATAGCTTATCTTTCCAGTGTATACTGATAGCTTATCTTTCCAGTGTATGTTGATAGCTTATCTTTCCAGTGTATATTGATAGCTTATCTTTCCAGTGTATATTGATAGCTTATCTTTCCAGTGTATATTGATAGCTTATCTTTCCAATGTATATTGATAGCTTATCTTTCCAGTGTATATTGATAGCTTATCTTTCCAGTGTATATTGATAGCTTATCTTTCCAATGTATATTGATAGCTTATCTTTCCAGTGTATATTGATAGCTTATCTTTCCAGTGTATATTGATAACTTATCTTTCCAGGTACAGTCTCCCCAGCCCATCAGACACAAATGCATATCTGATCATTCCCCCACCCAATTTTGTCTATGTTTATCTTATGTAAAATGCAGATTCACTGCATATTTTCCTCTGCCCCATTTGTTTTTGTCGTCTGATGTAAAAAGTGCAGATTCACTGAACCAGACAAAGGCATGAATGACTATTTTTAAAAAAAATACAGATTCACTGAGCTAGACAAAGGCATGCGTAACTATTTTTCCTTACCCTCCTCTTACATGAAAATTGTGTGCTTCTCAATATCCCGCCCTTTACCCTTTAAATTTGGATCCCTCAAAATCATCTTCAGAGAAAGGCATAGATCTGTCTCCCAGGCACATCTTTAACTTTGGCAAATAAATCTCCTGAAATGATAAGAGACTTATCTCATTGGACAATATCCAAACACTTGTGCCCAAGTGTTTATAGAAGCATTATTCACAATAAAAAGATAAAAGTATCACAAATGTCCACCAACCAACGTGTTGCATCCATATGTTAGAAATTTACTCATCCATAAAAATGAAGTACTGATGCATGCTGCAATTTGGAGATTCAAAATATGAAGCTAAGTGAAAGAAGCCAGATCCAAAGGTCACATACTATATGATTACATTTATATAAAATGTCCAGCAGCTGGAAATCCACAGAGACAGAAAGCAGATTGATGGTTGCCTGGGGCTGAGCAGGGGTAGGGAGAGGAGAGGGACTGCTCCGTGGAACGGGGTTCCTTTTGGGGTGATGAAAATCTTTGGGAACTAGAGGTGGCAGTTGCTGCAATGAAAATCTACTAAATGCCACAGAGTTGTATATATATATATATGTATTTTTTTTTTGAGACGGAGTTTCACTTTTATTGCCCAGGCTGGAGTGCAGTGGTGTATTCTCGCGTCTCTGCAACTTCCGCCTCTCAGTTTCAAGCGATTTTCCTGCCTCAGCCCCCCAAGTAGCTGGGATTGCAGGTGGCCACCACAACACCTGTCTAATTTTTCTGTATTTTTAGTAGAGACGGAGTTTCACCATGTTGGCCAGGCTGGTCTTGAACTCCTGACCTCAGGTGATCCACCCGCCTCGGCCCCCCAAAGTGCTGGGATTATAGGCGTGAGCCACTGCGCCCGGCCTAGAGTTGTATACTTTTAAAGGGTCAATTTTACATTATCTGTATTTTACTTCAGTGAATGGAAATTTAAGAAAAAAGAGCATGGTTCTATGCAGATTTCTTTTATCTTAAAAAGTTGCAACATGACCCAGTGTTTTTTTTTTTTAATGTGAGGTAGGATTCCTAATAAGTGAGAGACGTCCTAAGTCCCACAGTGTTCAGACATGAAGCTGATCTTTTCACCTTACATCTTAAATTCTAATGTGGCTGAGTACAGAATTCGGGATGAGCTCCAGGATTCCTGCAGTCTGTAACTTTTTCTGACACTTTACCATTCCACCCGTGATGACGGATTGTTCCTGACTTACCTTTGGAACATAAAGGCTCTTACACCACGTGTCTGGATCTGGTAAAAGAGATTACACGAGATTGAGAGCCTTACATGTCTCAGGCAATACTCATCCTCAAACCAACCCTGAGATATGGGTCATTATCTTCTTCTATAAGGAGGAAAATGGGAAAGAGGTGTTACATGATCAAGGTCAACCATCAGTAAATTCCACCCTCATGTCTTACATTAACACCTGTTCATTTCCTCCAGGGATCACTCTTGCCCAAAGCATGGAGACAGAATCCATGGTATCAGCTGAGGGCTGTGAGCAGGGAAGAAAAGAGGTAGTAAGGAAGGAGAAATGACTCAGATGTTTTGACAGAGAGTGACCCTGTTTGCCCCAAGAACACTTGCGGGTTACAGTCCTAATCTTACCCCCAAAGTGTTCCCAGACCAAACTGAGGGTGGGGCTGCTATTTCTCATGGCCCAATAATGAGATGCGGATGAACTGGGGAGGGAGAGAGTTTTTATTTCTGTTACCGGTTACAGGGAGAAGGCCTGGAAAACATTGCCAGACCAACTCAAAATTACAAAGTTTCCCAGAGCTTATATACCTTCTAAGCTATTTATTAAAAAATGCAGCTATTTTCTAAGCTATCTTCTAAGCTAAGCTAAGAAGATAGCTAAGCTTCTTCTAAGCTAAGCTAAGAAGATAGCTAAGCTTCTTCTAAGCTAAGCTAAGAAGATAGCTAAGCTTCTTCTAAACTATCTAAGCTAGATAAGCTTCCAAACTATCTTCTAATAAGTTTAGAAGATTCTAAGCCATTAAGCTACCTAAGCTATAGTCTTCTAAGCTATCTTCTAATCTTCTAAGCTTAGAAGCTTAGCTATCTAAACTAAGCTAAGATATTCTAAGCTTCTAATATCCATCTTTCACATCACCCATTTCCTGCACGGGATATGGCACGCCAGAGACCCAGGGGATGTTTTCTGCATGAATCTAGTAATAAACAAATACCTGCATCCCTCAGGGCTGATAAAGAGTCTATAAACCTCAGATGGAGAGTCTAGAATGTTAGAACATAAACCAGGGAATGTGTCAGATGCCTAAGGACCTTCACAGCAATTCTAGCAATTCTTCATAAAAGCAGCTGTCATTTACTGAGCATAGTTCATCAGGTTATCTCTAGGCATATAATGAAAATAATAATCATAGTAAAAAATAGCCCACATTATTGAATGACTGCTAAGAACATGGTAGAATTTCACTTTGTACATCACATGTATTAACTATGTAGTTCCCCACCAAAACCATGTAAGGTAGATACTAGCACTATACTAAGTTTATATATGACACAATAGCAATGTGGGTAACTTTCCCTAACTCACGAAGTTAAAAGGGGCAGAGCTGTGATCAAATCTCAGGCTTCCTGGCTCCAGAGTCTTCCCTGTTAGTTCAACTGATTGCTTCCTATGAGAGGTAGAATATAATAATCTCTGATTGTCAACCCACCAAATATCCTTACAAAGAAGACATTTTTATTATTGCAATTTTATAGAAAAGCAAAGTGAGCCTCAGAGAGGCAAAGTGACTTTCCCAAGGAGACAGAGATAGCAAGAGGCAGATGTAGGTTTTGAAAGTACTGTGATGTAACTCCAAGCCTGTTGCTTTTTTTTTTTTTTTTGAGACCGAGTCTTACTCTGTTGCCCAGGCTGGAGTGCAGTCACGTGATCTCAGCTCTCTGCAAGCTCTGCTTCCTGGGTTCATACCATTCTCCTGCCTCAGCCTCCCAAGTAGCTGGGACTACAGGCACCCGCCACCACGACTGGCTAATTTTCTTTTTTTTTTTTTTTTTTGTATTTTTGGTGGAGACAGGGTTTCACTATATTAGCCAGGATGGTCTCCATCTCCTGACCTCATGATCATCCCTCCTCAGCCTCCCAAAGTGCTGGGATTACAGGCGTCAGCCACTGTGTCTGGCCCCAAGCCTGTTGCTTTTTAGTCAATACCCTATAAACTGGTTTCCTGAACATGGTCTGGAAAGAGATGACCTGAGGTGGATGAGGAAGAGCCAACTCTAAATGCCACCCTGGGCCGTGCTAGTGGTTGTCCTGCTGGGTGAGCGGCTAACATCATAAGCTTCTGAATTCCATTCCTATTCAGAATCCATGGAGTGGATGTGTCTTTTTCCAATTTATTCTGATGCATTCGCTAAATATTTATTAGACACCTTCAGGGAATCTCTATTTAGGAGTCTCTAAGAGGGGGCCCAGCTCATACAAATGTATCAACTAACACACCAGAAAACAGTGGAAGCCTTGTTGCTTCCTGGACTCTGACCATGGTGCTGAAACTAGAGTTCATGGCAACATCCCAGTCAGTGCTGTGGACAGCGACCACAGGAGCCACTCTCCTGGGGCTGGGGCCTGATAGAGGAAATAGGAATGGTGTCTAGATACAGGGCCAGGTCTGTTGGAGACCTTGAATAGGAGCCAAAATTGAACAGGATGTGGGGAAGCTCAAGAGGTTGATGACGTCTAGCTGGACCATGGAATGTTGCTATCTAAATAGGCAATTATTTTTGTACTCTACACCAGGGTAGGCAGACAGGAAGCCAAGAGGGAAGCATCCTGGAACTTCCTTCGTCATACAGAATACTGAGTTTCCTTGGCTGCTCATGAGTGTATATTATGAGTGCAATAAAGTTTGAGTGCGATTATCCCTTAGACTAAAATCTGTTTTTGCAAGAGTTTTCTTCAGAGAAATGGAACCAATCAGATGTTTATTTATGTATATACCTATCCTCTGTCTATCTAGCTATCTGTTTATTTCTCTAGGAATGTGCATTATGAATACAATATGGCCCCTCTTACTGTGGGCCAACGTTTGTTCCATGTTTTAGCCAATGAACCAGACAAACTGTTAGAGCCATGTCTAGCTCACTGAGATGCAACATTAAATGCAGGATCTCTCCTTAGTAGGTCCATATCAATAACATTGGCCTGGCTCAACTTTATCTTCCTTTCACCATTATCCAACACCCTTAATGTCCATTCGCACACATGTTCCCTAGATTTCTAGGTGTATAAATCAGAAGAACTTAGTAGTCACTTTGGAGTGTAGCACATTTCCCCATGGATCACACATTGAACCTATGGCTTAGAAGCAAAGATGGGTAGTGGGGGCGGATCCTGAGGAAAATTAGCACTGTCTTGCATGGCAACTGCCTCCACGGAGGCCACTATTGTTTCCTCAGACAGTGCAGGGTTAATCTCCTCAGATGCACGGGGAGAGAATGCTTCCATTGTCAAAGAGCATGATTAAGGAACTCACTGTCCTTACCTTCATCAGTGTCTTTCACACATCCCTATTCCAAATGTCAAGATTCCACACCTTCCGAATCAATACCCTTAAAGTAGACACCCTTTGAGGCTGGGAATTCCATTTGTATTGTAATTTAGCCACTTGAAGGGTGAGTTTCTGGGTTTGCTTTTTCTTTTTCTTTTTTTTTTTTTTTGAGACAGAGTCTTGCCCTTGTCCCCCAGGCTGGAATGCAATGGCACGATCTCGACTCACTGCAACCTCCACCTCCTGAGTTCAAGCAATTCTCCTGCCTCAGCCTCTTGAGTAGCTGGGATTACAGGCACCAGCCACCACACCTGGCTAATTTTTGTATTTCTAGTAGAGACGGGATTTCGCCAAGTTGGCCAGACTGGTCACGAACTCCTGACCTCACATGATCTGCCCACCTCGGCCTCCCGAAGTGCTAGGATTACAGGCGTGAGCCACCGCACCTGGCCCCAGGTTTGACTTTTCAAAGGCCTCAGCCCTGTGGCTACAAATGATGAGTATCTTTTAGGGCAGATATAGAAGTCTTAGCTCATTTATGTTTGCACTTGAACTGAAAATTCAAATCTTTGAATTCATCCTCTTCTTTCCCCAACTTTGTCCAGTGACAACCCAGCCAATCTCATTATGCTCATTAGTTTTCAAAAACATTCAAAAGTATTATGTACATGATCACTCAGATTCTTTTTTTTTTTTTTTGAGACGGAGTCTTGCTCTGTCGCCCAGGCTGGAGTGCAGTGGCATGGTCTCCGCTCACTGCAAGCTCCGCCTCCCAGGTTCATGCCATTCTCCTGCCTCAGCCTCCCAAGTAGCTGGGACTACAGGCGCCCACCACCACACCTGGCTAATTTTTTTGTATTTTTTTTTTTTTTAGGAAAGATGGGGTTTCACCGTGCTAGCTAGGATGGTCTCGATCTCCTGACCTCGTGATCCACCCGCCTCGGCGTCCCAAAGTGCTGGGATTACAGGGGTGAGCCACCGCACCCGGCCCACTCAGATTCTTATAAATGTTTGTTAGGCGTTTCCAATGATGACATTTGGTGTATCCCTATGGCCACATCATGTTATGCACTATCAACACTACTGGAAATGGAGTCATTAGTGTTTTTAAATCTAATCAAATTAGAAAGCCGATTTCAGAAACTTTGGATCCAATTCAGAAAACTCATCCTTAAAAATTCTGTTCCTTTGGAATCATCCCTGGAACCAAAATGATTTTTTTTTCAAGGGTTCTCCAGAGAAATTGAACCAGCAGAATGTTTATTTATGTGTCTATCTGTGTATCTATGTATCTATCTATGTATCTATCCATGTATCTATGTATCTATCTATTTATCTATCTATCTATTTATTTGTTTATCTATTCATTTACCTAGGAATTGGCTCATGTGATTGTAGGAGCTTGGTGAGTCCAAAATCTGCAGGACAGTAGAGTATCCTGGAGACTCAGGAAAGAGTTGTAGCAAACTAAAAAATCCAAAGACAATCTGCTGGAAGAATTTCTTCTTGCTCAGGGGAGCTCTCTGCTATTACTTTATTGTTATTTTGCTCACAAGACATGTATCATCCTATAACATATTGGATTTTCTATTAATTTTTGTTGTTGTCTAATATCCATCTTTCTCAACTATAATATTGATTCAATACAGACACTTTTTTAGAAGTCTTTCTGTCTTTTTTCTGATACATCTTATACACCAAGAATCACGTTTGACCCATTAGATACTTAATGTGTGCCCATGAAAACAGTGAATAAAAGTGTCTCCACTTCTTCCAAGTTTATTTTTAACACTGGAGCAAATGATTTCTACTTGATTCTCTCTTTTTTTCTCCCTTCCAGGCTGCCTTTAGTGCAAAGTCCTCAGAATGGAAAAATATTCTTGGGGGAGGCAAAACCTTAAGGTTGGCAAGAAACAAACCCCAGCCTTATCCTTACTTTCCTTCTCTCAGTTAGATCTCAATGTCCTTGGCTGCAATGCCGTCTCTACCTAGTCTACTTCAAGCTTCCCAGATATGATTTCCTCTCTAAGTTTCTCTGTCTCTTCCTGTCTCTGTCTCTCTATTGTTCTGTTTCTTTCCATCTCTCTCTTTCTTGCTCCAACTTTCTCAGTCGACTAAAACTAATAGCTACGAATAGCTTTCAGTAATTTGAACATTTCACGGATGTTTTTCTAGATCAACTGAAATCCCTATGCAAACACTGTCACTGTACTTGCAGATGAAATGATAATCACTTCCCGGCAAGAAAAGGATCTCATGGTAGTCTTAAGCCTTTATCTCAGGGTTAAGATGCCCCCTTTTGTGGAGGTGCTTAGACTGTGACTATGGCAGTTGCTTTCCCAGCAAGAAACTGCATTTGGTAAGTGGACCTTCTTTCAGTTAGAGAGCCATATTCTTAGAGATGTAGAATATTTGTTGCAACATATATGTGTGTATATATATATATATATATATATATATATATATGGTGTAAACATCCCGGTCTATTTCCCCTAAGGTCAAAACTGAACATGGAAAAGAAACATGGGGCAGGGGTATTTTCTGAGAGTTCCTGAGACACAGAACCACCCCAGCCTTCCCACTCAGGGCTGCCTGGCATCTCCTGTTTACCTTCTCTGTCATAGCCCCATCTGAAAGACTCTGTCTGAATAAATATACCAAACCTCATAGTCTTAGCTCTCCTCTTTGTACGAGGGGTAAGAGTGTGTTCAGGTCTTGGCTCCTGTTCACACACCTGTTGTCTAATGGCAACTGGTACTTAGGACATTTGAAATATCTCTGGTGGCTGCATGCTGCACTTTGGTTGGCAATGGCTGTACGTCTCTGAAAACCTTCTGTGATGATTGCAAAACGGTACACTTTCATCTCCTTTCTTATGGGTTCCGGGGAGCCGAATGCACTTGATTTCACCAGTAATATATGTCTATAGACAATTTCTCAGATCGGCGTGAAGAAGGTAAATTATATCTTTCATTTAGAAAAATATAAATCTCACTTTTACAAAACGTGACTAAGAATTGTCAAGGCTTAGAGAGCAGGAATAATCAGGGACTATATGGGTGTTCATGTCTAATAAATGCAACTCTGATCCTTAACCGTATTTAAAAGCGCTTTCAGAGTTCCGAAACCTTTTCATCTGCTCCAGATTCACTGGGTTCTGAAGCCAAAGCTTTCTGAAACTGTTCCTCCTCTCAGCCCCTAAGTGGTGAACGCTTGGTCTGTTCTGACAGCTGAGATCCTAGCCACGGGAGCGTGAGGTGAGGAATTTCCTGTCACCATCCCAGAAAGTAAAATATAGCCTCATTATTTCCTAATTGTGTTTCCATAAGAAAAACAAAGAATTCGATAAAAGAAACAAAGACCAGTATTTACTTTTTCATAAATGATTGTAGTTACTGAAGGACATATGGGGCCCGTAATCACAACGGGTCTAGGACTCACAGGTATTTTCTCGTCTCCATTATTTACCATAATTGTGTCATTCTCACTCCTGCTTACATGATTTATTTGGTATAATTTAAATGTATTTGTATGTTTTCTCTATGACTTAATGGGCAACATGCCCCTTTCTCTAACTTGTGTTTGTTGGTTTGTTGATCTCTGATACAAATTTGCTAAATATATTCTAGTTGTTGTTATAAAATATTTTCTTTCCAAGAAAATTTTTCAACAGGTTCATGTGCACACCATATATGAAATTCATATTCTTTTCTTATTCTCTTATTTTTCTCCCCATCCTCTACAACACTTGGGCCAAACTGTTATGGATTATTGTGTATCCACCAAGAAATGGCTTTGAGTTTTTAAAGTATCTATTTCTCTGAACTAATCTGTAATTTCCAAGAATCTAATATTTCTCAATTTTTAACACCAATTATTTTACTTTGTAATTTAACAACTTGTTAATTATTAAACAAGTAAAAAATGCAAAAATAAAAACTATGTTTTGATAGTTTCTAATTTATATTCTTTGGAAAATGTCTAAATTTTAGGAAATTAAAATTTTTTTCGAATTGAATGTGGCTAGAAATAATAATTTTTCACTGCATGGCATTACGTAAGTGTAATAGAATTCTACTCTCATCCTACTTTAGATAATGCCAAACTGAGAAACCATTATTAATTTATTTTGTTTTTGTCTAGACATGAAAATGAAAAGTTGCCATCAGAAGAATCATTATGGAAAGTGAAAATATGGTGCTAAATTAAATATGTGGCAAATAAATGTGTTTTTTTAACTTTTAGGTTCAGAGGTACATGTGCAGGTTTGTTATATAAGTAAATTGTGTGTTACAAGGGTTTGAAGTACACATTATTTTGTTATCCAGGTGGTAAGCATAGTACCAAATAGGTAGTTTTTCTGTCCTCACCCTCCCCACTTCCTCAACCCTCAAGGAGGTCCCCCTGTGTGTGATTACCAAGGAGGCCCCACTGTGTGTTATTACCTCCTATGTGTCCATTATGTATTCAGTATTTACTTCCAACTTATAAGTGACAACATATAGTATTCAGCTTTCTTTTTCTGTGTCAGTTCTCTTAGAATAATGACCACCAGGTCCATTAATGTGGCTGAAAATGACAGTATCTTATTCTTTGTTTTGAGGCAGAATCTGTCTGTCACCCAGGCTGGAGTGCAGTGGCACTATCTCAGCTCACTGCAGCCCCCGCCTCCCAGGATCAAGCAATTCTTGTGCCTCAGCCTGCCGAGTAAATGGGATTACAGGTATGCACCACCACACCCAGCTAGTCTTGTTTTGTTTTGTCTTGTTTTTTGAGATGGAGTCTCGCTGTGTCGCCAGGCTGGAGTGGAGTGGCGTGATCTCGGCTCACTGCATCCTCTGCCTCCCGGATTCAAGCGATTCTCCTGCCTCAGCCTCCTGAGTAGCTGGGACTACCAGGTGCACACCACCATGCCCAGCTAATTTTTGTATTTTTAGTAGAGACGGGGTTTCACCATGTTGGCCAGGATGGTCCCAATCTCTTGACCTTGTGATCCACCCACTTCAGCCTCCCAAAGTGCTGGGATTACAGGCATGAGCCACTGCATCTGGCCAGTTTTTGTATTTTTTTTTTTTAGTAGAGATGAAGTTTTGCCATGTTGGCCAGGCTGGTCTCAAACTCCTGTCCTCAAGTTATCCACCCGCCTCGGCCTTTCAAAGTGCTGGGATTACAGGTGTGATATATATGATATATATGTGTCCTCATGGACACAGAGAGGGAACTTCACACACCAGGGCCTGTCAGGGGGTTGGGTAGGGGGGTAGGGGAGGGATAACATTAGGAGAAATACCTAATGTAGACGACGGGTTGATGGGTGCAGCAAATTGCCATGGCACTTGTATACCTATGTAACAAACCTGCACGTTCTGCACATGTATCCCAGAACTTACAGTATAATAATAATAATAATAATAAAAAGAGTGGTCTCTGGGCTATAAGTTCCCTGCAGAGGATTGCATCATCTATTTTGTCACTGCCCCCACCCTAATGTTTGTAGGCTCATATATTATGCCAGTTAATATGCAAAGACTTAGGGATTCAGTACTGAATAAAAATGAGAATGGCCATGGCCTCATATTGCTTATGAGACTGCCAAAACCGAACGTGGTGTACATAATTACCCAGATGTATGGTGACTTCTTAAAAAATGAAGCATAGCCTTGCCATGTAATCTTGCCATTTTACTTCTGTGTATATATCCAGGGGAAGTCAAAGCAAATACTTGAGCAGATATTTATACCTCCATGTGCACAGCAGCATTACTTACAACAAACAAAAAGAATAAACCACCCAATGTTCATAGATGGATGAGTGGAGACATAAACTGTAGTGTAGACATACAGTAGAGTATGTATGTCTTACAAGGAATGAAATCATGATTGCCACATTCTACAACACGGGTGAAACTTGAAGATGTTATGCAGACTGAAATCAGGCAATCACAAAAAGACAAGTATTGTATGATTCTATTTATATGAAGTGCATAGAATAGGCAAACCCATAGAGACAGAAAGTAGAATATTGGCTTCCAGGGGCTGGGGTTGGGGGAGAGAAAATGGGAATTGGTATTTAATGCATACAGATTTTCAGTTTAGGATCATGAAAAAGATCTGGAGATGGATGGGGATGATGGTTGCGCAACGGTGTGGATGTACTTCAGCAAGGTGCTGTGGCTCACGCCTGTGTGTCTGCGTGCTAGGGTCTCGGGGGTTTTATAGGCACAGGATGGGGGCGTGGCAGGCCAGGGTGGTCTTGGGAAATGCAACATTTGGGCAGGAAGTGCCCGTCCTCACCTAGGTCTGTGAGGGTGGAGCCCTAGCCAGGGACCACGCCCTCCTCTGCCCAGCACTTCCCTTCCCTCTTCTGTATTATTTAAAGGGACTACACCCTTCCCTTCCCAGCACTTCTTTATCACCACTTAGAAAGGCCATTATCAAAAAGACAAAAAATAACAAGTGGTGGCTAGGATGCAGAGAAAAGGGGACTCTTGTGCACTGTTGAAGGCAACAAGAAGGAGTGTGGTCATTACAGGAAACAGTACATAGGTTCCTCATAAAACTAAAAAGAGAACCACCCTATGACCCAGCCAGCCCAGTTCTGGGTATAGATCGAAAGGAAAGGCAATCAGTATATTGAAAGGATAGCTTCACCCTGGTGTTTACTGCAGCACTATTCACAATAACCAAGATTTGGAAGCAACCTAAGTGTTTATGTACAGATGAATGGATAAGGAAAATGTGGTACATTTACACAATGGAATATTACCCAGTCGTTAAAAAGAATGAAATCCTGTCATTTGTGGCAACACGGATGAGCCTGGAGGAAATAAGTGAGATAAGCCAGGCATAGAAAGACAAAGGTAGCGTGTTCTTACTCATGTGTGGGAGTTAAAACAGTTGATCTCAGAAGCAGAGAGCAGAGTCGTGGTAACTAGAGGCTGGGAAGGGTGGGAAGAGGGGAGAGGGAAATGCTGGTTAAAGGATACAGAATTACAGCTAGATGGAGGAAATAATAAGTTCTGGTATCCTACAGCACTGTAGGGTGACTATAGTTAACAATAGTTTACTGTACAGCTAGATGGAGGAAATAAGTTCTGGTATCCTATAGCACTGTAGGGTGACTATAGTTAACAATAGTTTACTGTACAGCTAGATGGAGGAAATAATAAGTTCTGGTATCCTACAGCACCGTAGGGTGACTATAGTTAACAATAGTTTACTGTACAGCTAGATGGAGGAAATAAGTTCTGGCATCCTATAGCACTGTAGGGTGACTATAGTTAACAATAGTTTACTGTACAGCTAGATGGAGGAAATAAGTTCTGGTACCCTACAGCACTGTAGGGTGACTATAGTTAACAATAGTTTACTGTACAGCTAGATGGAGGAAATAAGTTCTGGTATCCTACAGCACTGTAGGGTGACTATAGTTAACAATAGTTTACTGTACAGCTAGATGGAGGAAATAAGTTCTGGTATCCTATAGCACTGTAGGGTGACTATAGTTAACAATAGTTTACTGTACAGCTAGATGGAGGAAATAATAAGTTCTGGTATCCTACAGCACTGTAGGGTGACTATAGTTAACAATAGTTTACTGTACAGCTAGATGGAGGAAATAAGTTCTGGTATCCTACAGCACTGTAGGGTGACTATAGTTAACAATAGTTTACTGTATATTTTCTTTTTTAGATGTTTTTATTATACTTTAAGTTCTAGCGTATCCTAGAAGCTTTATTCAGTACTGAATCCCAAAGTCTTTGCATATTAACTGGCATAATATATGAGCCTACAAACATTAGGGTGGGGGACAGTGAAAAAATAAATGATGCAACCCTCTGCAGGGAACTTATAGCCCAGAGACCACTCTTTTTTTATTATTATTATACTTTACGTTCTGGGGTACACGTGCAGAACGTGCAGGCTTGTTACATAGGTATACATGTGCCATGTTGGCTTGCTGCACCCATCGACTCGTCATTTACATTAGGTATTTCTCCTAATGCTATCCCTCCCCCAGCCCCCCAGCCCCAGACAGTCCCCAGTGAGTGATGTTCCCCGCCCTGTGTCCAGGTGTTCTCATTGTTCAATTCCCACCTATGAGTGAGAACATGCGGTGTTTGGTTTTCTGTCCTTGTGATAGTGTACTGAGAATGATGGTTTCCAGCTTCATCCATGTCCCTGCAAGGGACATAAACTCATCCTTTTTTATAGCTGCATAGTATTCCATGGTGTATATGTGCCACATTTTCTTAATCCAGTCTATCATTGATGGACATTTGGGTTGGTTCCAAGTCTTTGCTATTGTGAATAGTGCCACAGTAAACATACGTGTGCATGTATCTTTATAATAGCATGATATATAATTCTTTGGGTATATACCCAGTAATGGGATTACTGGGTCAAATGGTATTTCTAGTCCTAGATCCTTGAGGAATCGCCACACTGTCTTCCATAATGGTTGAACTAATTTACACTCCCACCAACAGTGTAAAAGATTTCCTGTTTCTCCACATCTTCTCCAGCATCTGTTGTTTCCTGACTTTTTAATGATTGCCATTCTAACTGGTGTGAGATGGTATCTCATAGTGGTTTTGAGTTTATTGTATGTTTTCAAAGAGCTAGAACTCCTGGGCTCAAGTGATCCACCTGCCTTGGCCTCCCAGAGTGCTGGGATTAAGTGCGTCTTTATTATAACTTATAATTGACACATAATAATTGTATATATTTGTAGGGTATAGAGTTGATATTTCAACACATATATATAATGTGTAATGGTTAAATAAGAGTAATGAACATATCCGCCATTTCAAACATTTATCGTTTCTTTGTGTTGAAAACATTCAAAATCCTCTCTTCTAGCTATCTGAAAATATACAATAAACTCTTAATGAGTCAATAGGTTGTCGTTGGTGGCACTTCTTGTGGTTATAGGGATTACTCTTTGCTGTCCGTGTTTGTTGAATGGTTCATTTCTTACACACCTAATTATCCATGGAAGGTAGTTCTTAGTGCTCTCCTGGGGGTCAGACTGAAAAAGAGGGGATTGTTCCAGCTATCCCTGCTGCATGATCTCAACTCCTCCAAACATATCATCTGCTTAGGGTTTTGCCCAGCACAGGAGGGTCTAGTGTGAACCTCACACTCACACGTGGGACAGACACCCATATCTGACAATGTCGCGGTGAATCTGTTTCACACAAACAAGGGAGATGATTCAGTGTGGACCACGGGCCCATGTCAATGAGCAGAGATATTTCCAGCGCCTGTCCACACACACAGGGGAGGAGGAACCACAGCTTCCAGCCTCACCCAAAGCCCTGACTCCTCCCTGCCTGTGAGGACCTGGGGTTCCTCTTCTGTCCCACACACAGAGGTGGAAATCTCCCCCACTAATGAGCCCTGGGTGGTCCCAGGCACCAGTGGTCCCTCAGCTCTGGTCTATGATCTGTCTTACGGCACCCTGTCTATTTCAGGAATTTGTTATTTAACTTTTTCTACATTAAGACCATGACTACAGGATTCAGAAATATCGTAACTAGGTTTCTCAGTGTTCAAAGTTGACGTCGGCTCTTCATGGGGGCATCAATCATCGTCCTCCACTGTGGAGCCCAACATCAGGATCCTCTCCCATCCCCACCCTCCTGTCTTAACTGGTCTAGAAATTAACCATGGCTGAGCCCCTCCCATGTCCTGGGCACCACTGACCCCCATAGCCACTGTGATGAGTGGGGATCATGACAACAGGCTCCAAACGTGGAAATTGAGGCTCAGGGATGGGATATTACTTCCCAAGGTCACACAGGCAGGGGATGATAATCAGGAATTAAATAAAAGTCACCTCCCAACCCAATGTCCGAAATCAGAGCTCAAACCTAACGTAATTGCTCCAAAAACCTTAAACGTGGATTAAGGCACAGAGGAAGGCCCAGGAAGTGAGGGGCACTGAGAAGGCAGGAATGACTTAGAGGTTTGTTCTCAGGGGTGGGGGGTGGATGCTGCTGCAAAAAGAAAGGAAGGAAAGACAGAGGGAAGGAAGGAGGGAGAGAGGGAGGGAGGAAGAGGACGGAAGGAAGGAAGGAAAAAAATAGGAAGTTTGGTAGAAAGGAAGAGACTGTTCTTGAAGGGACAAGAAAGGGACTGTTTGGCAGAAAGGAAACACACACTCCAGGGACAGAAAAACATATGTTTTATTCTCTTTATTCCCTGCATCTCTCTTGTGTTCTCACTGCCACATGCAGCTCAGCCTCGGCTGCACAGCCAGGTGTCAGGTGCGTCTCTGCTGATCTGAGTCTGCCTGCAGCATGGACCTGGGTCTTCCCTGAAGCATCTCCAGGGCTGGAGAATCACTGACCACGGTAAGGACCCCGCAACGCTGAGCTGATGGATGGGCTGAAGGAGGGAGGGAGACCCCATGGGGAGGCTCTGAGCGGGAGGAGGTCACCCTCGCCTGAAAGGGGCTGACTCCGGAAGGCATCAGGTCTATTTGCTGTTGTGTCCCGGCTCTCGGTAAGATAAAGACAGATCAGGCAGACAGTGGCCTGGGGGCAGGGAGACCCCATTTCTCTCTGAAATGTCTGCAGAGAGCCTGGTGCCCACCCCCATCTCAGCCCTGGGGAAATGAGAGCCAGCCTCCTGGGGAGGGCAGTTTCCGTTCCTGTGGGCTGCGGATGAGATAACCCCATGACAAGAAAGACCCAGCCTCTGAGGGGCCACACCCTGTGTGTCTCTCTGTCCTGCCAGCACCAACGGCTCATCCATTTGCAAAGCTGAAAGGAGGCAGAGGAGACGCCATGACCGCCGCCCTCACAGCCTTGCTTTGCTTTGCTTTGGTGAGATTTGAAGAGGAGAGAGGAAACCCCACAGGCCCTGGTCCATCAAGAGATCCCAGGGCTTTAGGGAGCTCCCAGGCAGGGGAGGACTTGCTCAGGCTTCACGGGGCAAATCCCTCACTGGGAATTCTCTTCCAGGGCTGAGTCTGGGCCCCAGGACCCGCATGCAGGCAGGTGAGTCTGTCCCCAGCTCTCCCAGGTCCCTCCTCCTCACCCTGGACAGTTGGGGATGGAGACAGCAGTTCTGGGCAGGCAGCTGGGATGATCTGAGGGGTGGGGAAGGTCTTGGGATCCAGGCTTTGATTTCCTTCCATGTACTCTCCCCAGGCCCACCCTCTGGGCTAAGCCAGGCTCTGTGATCAGCTGGAGAAGCCCCATGACCATGTGGTGTCAGGGGACCCTGGAAGCCCAGGAGTACCATCTATATAAAGAGGGAAGCACAGAGCCCTGGGACAGAACGAATCCACTGGAGACCAGGAACAAGGCCAGATACTCCATCCCATCCATGACACAGCACCATGCAGTGAGATATCAGTGTTACTATCTCAGCCCTGCGGGCTGGTCAGAGCCCAGTGACCCCCTGGAGCTGGTGATGACAGGTGAGAGGACACTCAGGGGTCCCAGCCCCAGGCTCTGCCCTCAGGAAGGGGGTTGGCTCTCAGGGGTGTCTCCCTCTCACAGCCCAGCCCTGGGGATGATGTGGGAGGTGGGAGCCCCATTTAACATGGTGCCTCCTTCTCTCCTAGGATTCTACAGCAAACCCACCCTCTCAGCCCTGCCCAGCCCTGTGGTGGCCTCAGGGGGGAAAGTGACCCTCCGATGTGGCTCACAGAAGGGATATCACCATTTTGTTCTGATGAAGGAAGGAGAACACCAGCTCCCCCGGACCCTGGACTCACAGCAGCTCCACAGTGGGGGGTTCCAGGCCCTGTTCCCTGTGGGCCCCGTGACCCCCAGCCACAGGTGGAGGTTCACATGCTATTACTATTATATGAACACCCCCCAGGTGTGGTCCCACCCCAGTGACCCCCTGGAGATTCTGCCCTCAGGTGAGGGAGCCACGGCCTTCTCTAACACACTTTCCGGACAGCTGACAGGTTGTGGGGAGTTTGGCTGGTGACTGAATCTGGAAAGGACCCACAGTGATGTGTTGATGGATGGGCTGAAGGCATGAGGGAGACCCCATGGGGAGGCTCTGACATGGGAGGACAGAGCTCTCCCCCTGTCCTGGCCCCTGGAGAGACCCTGACCCTCCAGTGTGGCTCTGATGTCGGCTACGACAGATTCACTCTGTACAAGGAGGGGGAATGTGACTTCCTCCAGCGCCCTGGCCAGCAGCCCCAGGCTGGGCTCTCCCAGGCCAACTTCACCCTGGGCCCTGTGAGGGGCTCCCACGGGGGCCAGTACAGATGCTCCGGTGCACACAACCTCTCCTCCGAGTGGTCGGCCCCCAGTGACCCCCTGGACATCCTGATCGCAGGTGAGGAGCCCAGCGGGTTCAGTCAGGGACCCGGGCTCGGCACAGGCATTGCCGGGGGAGCCCAGGTGGTGATGGCCGGGATGAGGGGTGGGGGTCCCAAGGGAGGGAGAGACAGACAGAGACAGGGGATGGGGGGAGGGGGAGACTCAGAAAACAGACACAGAGACTGAGGGTCCCAGGGAGAGGTCTGGGGAGGTCTCAGCTCAGAACAAGGTGGGGCAGCCCCTCACCCATCTGTCTTCTGTCCAGGACAGATCCCTGGCAGACCCTCCCTCTCAGTGCAGTTGTGGCCCACAGTGGCCTCAGGAGAGAACGTGACCCTGCTGTGTCAATCACAAGAGTGGATGCACACTTTCCTTCTGACCAAGGAGGGGGCAGCCCATCCCCTGCTGTGTCTGAGATCAAAGTACGGAGCTCATAAGTACCAGGCTGAATTCCCCATGAGTCCTGTGACCTCAGCCCACACGGGGACCTACAGGTGCTACGGCTCACTCAGCTCCGACCCCTACCTGCTGTCTCACCCCAGTGGCCCCGTGGAGCTCGTGGTCTCAGGTGAGGGCGCTGACCCTGTCCTCTCTGAGCTCAAAGGCTCAGCTCAGGCCCTGCCCCCAGCAGAGCTCTGGACACTAAGGAAAGAGGGGAGTGAAGGGAGAGGGTCCGCAGGGGAGGGTCCAGCCCATGGGAAGATGGAAATAGACAGGGACCTCCCACCCCTGGCTCCCACCCCTGAAGTCTCAGTAGAGTAAAGTGCAGGGAGGGCTGGGAGGAGACGGGGGGTGAACCTCAAAGGAGTTGAGATTAGACTGAGGGTGGAAGACGGAGGCCCCACCTGCTCCCATCCTGGTGTCTCCACCTCAGAATCAGAGCCTCTGTGTCCCAGTCCCCAACAGACGCCCTCCTGGAGAGAGAAGCATCCAGGCTGCCGGTGCCACCTGCATCCACCCCCGACCCCCCCCCACCCCGCCCCACTTCCTGCTTTCCCCTGCAGCCTCCCCAGCACTCAGCGCACACCTGAGCCTCACAGGGACTTGCACGTGCTCCCGCAGCAGCTCAGGGAATGTGCACCGCTCCTCTTCTGCGCCGTTGACATTTTTTATTTGGGTTTTTAAAATCTCATATTGGCCTTTTTGTCCAAGCTGGTGAAAGTAGATTTGCAGCATCACCTATTTTTATTCTCACCCGGTTTCGTAATAGCCCTGATCTCACGTGCTCCCTGAGGTTTTGTAAACTTCAGGTAGAAATGTGGACTTCCTTCGTTCTGGACATTTGCTATGGAGGGGGTAGGGCTTATCTTTTCAGAAAAAGTCAAATGACTGGTACCACTCCTTGAAACCCTACAGCACTTTCCAGACCTCAGAGGGAGGGAGAGAGAGGCAGAGACAGAGACAGAGAGACAGAGAGAGAGATATTGGGGCCGCTCTTTCCTGGCCGGTTCATCCTGGCCTATTCTCAATCCACCAAGGCCCCGAAGCTCATCTCCCCTCCTCCTCTGCCTCCTCCTCCACCCTGTAGACAAGCGGCCATTCCTTTCTGAAGAACAGGCTGAGACCTTTCTGGGACCTGCTCTTTCTGGAGCCTCTGTTGCTCCCTGTCTGGGTCTCCACACGCCTCCTTCCTGGCCCTTTTTCCTATTGAGGAATCAGCTTCAATGTCACCTCCAAGTGTGACCTTCACTGACGACACAGCTCAGCCCAGTCCTGCCTGCTTCTCATTTATGTCAAGTAATTAACCAACCTACACCATGCGGCTGAATTCCTTCTCTCTCTCTTCCACTCTCTGCATATACGTGTGTGTGTGTGTGTGCGCGTGTGTGGTCACACCAACATCTTACGTGACATTGAAACCTAGTTATCCGTATATCTATACAAATAATATATATTCACACATAAATATAGGTCTCTACCAATATATCTAAAACCATTGCTACGACTAGTAAATTTCCACTGCTGTGTTTCTATATGTTTGCTGTTTGTCTCCAGGTGAACCCACACTTCAAGAAGGCAGAGATAGTTTTTAAGGCCCACTATATATATAAAACAGATATATATTTGTGTTTGTGTTTTTCTGTGTGTGTATCACATTCTACCTGTTGCTGCCTATACGAATAATTAGCTACCTAGAGATTAAATGGACAATGAAACTCCAGGTGAAGTGGCTGAGGGCATGAAGGGGAGGCAGCCCCAGACTTTCACCCCTTTGTGCTTCTGACATTGAGGCTCCCCTGATGACTAACCCTCATCCACGGAGCCTGGGTCCTCAGCTGGTGGATCCGTGAAACTCTCATCTCCGGGGGAGTTGGCTCATGTTCTCCTGTGTCCCAGGCTGCACAGAGAGCACACAGGCCTTAGTGACCTCTGTACTGGGGACCACTTTCCTTGCAGATCCTGAGCTCTCAGGATGCAGGAAAACTCTCTCCCAGATGACTCAGGAGCAATGTTTAAATCCATAGAACACAGGAAAACTGAAATCGTTCAATGAGGAGACTAGAGGGAATCCTGCTAGCGGAGGAAGAGGTTTTTTTTTTTTTTTTTTAGAAATTCTGTAAAAGTCACATCATGAGACATTAAGTAATAAAAAAAAAATTGCAGAGCCCAGGTGAGAGGCTGGGCTCAGGTCTCTTTTTCTCTGTTTTGATTCTCTGGAGCAGCTGATACCCTCAGCCCATCACAAAACAAGTCTGACTCTGAGACTGGTATGTGAGGAGATACTCTCAGTGATGGGGCTGGCACTGAGGGTTGGGTCCTGTGAAGGGGAGGTGGGTGCCCTGGGTGGACAATCTGATCCACCCTGACCTCTGTGACCTCTTTGTCCACCATCCCCAGCCTCACACCTTCAGGATTACGCAGTGGAGAATCTCATCCACATGGGCGTGGCTGGCTTGATCCTGGTGGTCCTCGGGATTCTGTCATTTGAGGCTTGGCACAGCCAGAGAAGCTTCCCAAGATGCAGCCGGGAGGTGAACAGCAGAGAGGATAATGTACTTTATAGAGTCGTGAAGCCTCAGGAACAGATCTGATGATCCCAGGAGGTTCTGGAAGAAAATCTAGGGCCGATGCTATCTGGACTGTCTGCTGGTCATTTCCAGAGGAAGGAATCAATGTCCGAGTGCAGGGACATTTTCTGGGGTGATCCATGGAGAACCATTAAAATGTGATACCTTTCCTCTCCATTAATGTTGACTTTCCTTGGTTGGATCTGCCTCTTTTCCCACACTTAGACATGAGGCTCCATCCCACATGGCAGCGTTGGGTCCACACCTCTGCACACCTGCATGCTCTGGTCCATGGCGTGTCACACAGTCCTCTTCATTTCTCATTGCCACACTTCCTGGTGTACTTTACTGGGTCTTCATGTCTTCAGTTCAGAGTTCCGCACCTGGTTTAGGAACTAATTCAACGGGAGAAGATCAGAGTCCGACCAGGAAAAGATAAATGCACCGTGATGCCCTCACCTCCTGTGTGGACCCTATGAGCTCTTCCCTCCTTATCAGATGCTATCTGTGTAGTTTCTCCTGAAATATCACCACCTGGAATCAACACACTGGCATTTGAAGTCACGACCCAATGGTATGCTAATTCTGAAAAAGACATTTTTTGAAATGCTATGATTAGTGGCATTTACCAATTTCCTTGACGTAAATTCTTTTTTCATGGCCATAATCAAGATGCCAACGAGACATCCCTGAATGCAGGGTTGGGAAGCGTTGGACAGACTTGTCTTCACTCATAAGCACCAGGCATCTGATAGCTCACGTATACATCTTATTACCTTCCATTTTAGAGTGAATAATCATTTCTACTTCAGTATTTTGGCACAGGTAAAAGCAGTCCCATTACTGCGCGTATACCCAAAGGAATATAAATCATTCTATTGCAAAGATACATGCACACATGTGTTCATCGCAGCACTATTCACAATAGCAAAGACATAGAATCAACCCAAATGCCCATCAATGATAGACTGGATAAAGAAAATGTGAGACATATACACCACGGAATACTATGAAGCCATAAAAAGAAACAAGATCATGTCCTTTGCAGGGACATGGATGGAGCTGGAAACCATTATCCTCAGGAAACTAACACAGGAACAGGAAATCAAACGCTGCATGTTCTCACTTACAAGTGGGTGCTGAACAATGAGAATGCGTGAACACAGGGAGGGGAACAACACACACTGGGGCCTGTCGGGGGGGGGGTGGGGTAGGGGTAGGGAGAGCATTAGGAAAAATAGCTAATGTATGCTGGGCTTAATACCTAGGTGATGGGTTGACAGGTGCAGGAAACCACCATGGCGCACATTGACCTATGCAATAAGCCCACACATTCTGCACATGTACCCCGGAACTTAAAATAAAAATAAAAATTAAAATTAAATTATGACACCATGATCCTAGCATATCCAAAAAAGACAAAAATGCCAATATCAAATGTCGGAGAAAATAGGGCTGAATTAAAAATCCAATACAACGCCGGGCGCAGTGGCTCACGCCTGTAATCCCAGCACTTTGGGAGGCCAAGGTGGGTGGATCACTTGAAGTCAGGAGTTTGAGACCAGCCTGGCCAAACGTGGTGAAACCCTGCCTCTACTAAAAATACAAAAATTAGCCGGGTGTGGTGGCACTCGCCTGTAGTCCTAGCTACTAGGGAGGCTGAGGCAGGAGAATCACTTGAACCCGGGAGGCGGAGGTTGCAATGAGCTGAGATCATGCCACTGAACTCCAGCCTGGGTGACAGAGCGAGACTCCGTCTCAAAAAAAAAAACAAAAAAAAAAAACCCTCAAAAGCTCAGGCAGCAAAAGCAAAAATAGGCAAATGAGATCATAGCAAACTGCAAACCTTCTGCACAATCAAGGAAACAAACAGCAGAGTGAAGAGACCACCTACAGAATGGGAAAGAATATTTGCAAGCAAGAGATTAATCTCCAGAAAATACAAGGAGCTCAAACAATGCAGAGGTTTTGAAGGATGGTGATGAGAAGGTTCTGCTACTTACAGAAAGGAAGTTTAGGAGAAACAAAACCACAAACCTAGGTGGTGGGATGGCTTGATCTGCTTCTGTCTGTGACTCACTTAACAGTCTTAAACACATCTCCCTAAGCCTCCTTCCCCCGGTGGGATTCCTGGGTCTTGTGAGGACCTCATCGGTCCCTCTGGTAAACCCAGGCACAGAGTGGAGCAGCTCTTGTTTTCTCAGGATCTTCCCCTTCACATACAATTAACGCACCCACACGATGCTACTCTTAGAACCCTTCAAATAAATGTTTCCCGGTTCATTCACTACCAGAATCCAAGCTCAGCTTGTTCCCCAGCTTAGGACTGAGTGGTATCTTGGAGGTAGTTTCCACCATAGCCCCCTTCCTCTGCTATAAGGCTCAGTGACACACCAGAGACACCCCCTCCAGCCAGGCTCCTGGAAGGTCTGGATGAAGACTGGGATGCTGAGGCATTGCTCAGCAATGTGGCTTAACTCAAACTTCTATGTGAAACTTCCAACCACTTTCAGCAAGGGGTCACTTCCAGCGTCTTGGGGTGTGAGGGCACCTTGGTTGGTCCCTGCAATATCAGACCCTATAAAGATCCTACA
Organism: Homo sapiens; assembly: GCF_000001405.40. Taxonomy (NCBI): domain Eukaryota; kingdom Metazoa; phylum Chordata; class Mammalia; order Primates; family Hominidae; genus Homo; species Homo sapiens. The sequence goes on from NW_003571061.2 coordinate 429,874, forward strand.
AACATGTTGCAGACTCTTTGAAGATTCTGGCACTTTCAGACATGCTGTTGGGAAATGGTGACACCCATAACCTTCTAGTTCCAGGACAGGGAGCCTTAGCCCAGGGCTATGTTTTCTGAGGGTCCTCAAAGTAAACAGTTCTATGTGCCAGGAGAACCCTAAATCTCATATGGTTCTAAGGGCAGAAAGCCACACACGCACCGGCAAAAAGCAAGAGATTCAAGGAAAAGCTGAGCAAAGACAGACAGGAAAACACACACATGATGAGCCAGCTTGTAGAGCTAGAACTGAGATGGAGAGAGGCACGAGTGGGTAACAGAGTGTGCTCCCCAGAACAGGTGGAGAGAATGCCTTTTTCATGCCCTGAGGATAGGCTGGGTAAGGCTTGTGCTCGACAGTCAAGGACTATTTTTTTCCCCAGGCGTCTACAAGAGACCTTCCTTCTCAGCTCAACTGTGCCCTGCAGTAAGTAATGATGGAGAGAATGTGACTTTGCTCTGCAGCTCTGGAAGCTCATTTGACCTGTGCCTTCTAACGAGGAAGGTAAGGCCCCTGGACACTGGCTCACTGGGGTGCAGAGACAGAGTGGGGCATTCAGGCCAACTTCTCTCTGGGTCTTGGGGCTGGTGATGGGACCTCTAGATGCTGCAGCTCTCTGTCGATGGCTCTGCCTGTGAGTGATCAGCCCTAGATGACCACTGTTACTGGGGGTAGCCCATGCCTGCTGCATGCCCTGTGAAACACTAAATCATATAGCCACGTCTGAGGGACAGCCTGCTGGAGACATGGGAATCTTAGGGATTCCAGACAAAATGAAGCAATGAGAAACACAAAGAGGAAAAGAGAGGTTGAGTATGACAGTGGTGTCAGGGTGTAGGGTGGTAGACAGGGCAGCTCCACACTCTCCACTGCTTCCTGTCTGGAGGCCCACTTTGGGGTCCTACTTATCCAGGTGAGTGAAGGAAGAGGTCAGGACAAACACAGGAGGTGAAGCCAGATACAGTGTGGGGAGATAAGCAGTGGCCTCAGCCTCTAGCCCTTTTCCATCTTCCAGAAGCCCCTCCTGAGCTCTCATCACAGACAGATTTCCCATTTGGAAACCCAGATATTTATCATGCCGGGGGGGGGAGGCAATGTCTCTTGATTATGGGGACTTTCCATCACCAGGCACCTGCTAGTCCTCTCTATACCTTCCCTTCAGGAAAGGAATTGTCCCTCATGGGATTCCAGGGAAGAGACCCCAGGACCCCTATCAGTCACTAGGGAGATGACAGAGTAGAGGAAGTCAGGGGACCAACCCTCCACAGAGAATGGTCCTACTTCAGTGGGGTGAGGGAAACTCTCACTCATCCATTTGCTGTCCTGTTACCTCGGAACCCTAAGAGAACTTGTTAGTCACACACAGAATCTACCCCTGAATGTGGTGTGCAAAGTGGGGCTCTTAGCCTCCAGTGTGAAGTCCCTGGGAAGATGGAATGTCCCTGTGTGAGTGAAGGCTGTGCCACCGCCCAGCTATGTGGCCTTGGGCTAGGCAACCCCTCCCAGGTCCCCAGTTCCCCATCTGCATCGGAGACTGTGGCCAGTGCGGGAATCCACAAGGCCCTTCAGCCTCCAAAGCTCTGGGACAGAGGCCTCGTCCACAGGGAGGAAGGGGTCAGAGTGACCTGAGTCCCTACTCAGGAGCGAGTCTAATCCACTCTCCATCGGGGCCTGTGGGGAAGGGAAGATGAAGAAACGGAGCCTGCACCTGGCTATGTGGGCGCAGTAGATTAAGGGGAGGATGAGGGTTCCTGAGAGTGTGTCATGTGGCAGAGACCCTGCAGCACACTCAGGAAGGGCTCTGGAAGGATCCAAGGAAATTTTCCAAGAAGAGGGCAGAGTAAGTGACAGAGACCCTCAACCATGGATTTCACTGAGGTGCCCATGATGACATAGGGAGAACGGGGGTGTCTGGGCAGGAAGAATATCGTCAGGGTGAAATGAATGGTGATGAGCTTCGTGTCAGAGCTCCTGTGGAGGGAGGGGCCTGGCCCACATGAAAAGGTCTCTGATCCTACCCCAGCCCCCAGCCCCTGTTCTCCAGGATGACACTGTGGGAATTCCATCAGGAGGGGTGTGATAGGGCTGGTCTTCCTGGCTCGATTCACAACACTGGCTGGGGACTGGGAACCCATGGGGAGCCACAGGTGGAAAGGGAGGAGCCTCAGTGAACCCAGCAGGAACAAACATAGGGTCTGACATGATGGAACTCACTTCCTGGAGGCCAAGAAAGACACTTGCGGGACAAAAGGGAAAGAGCGGTGGCTTGCTTAGTTCCATTCACTGACAACCCACAGGAGATGTCCAGTCCTTTTTTGATTTATTATTTTATTTTATTATATTTTATTTTATTTTATTTTATTTTCACATGGAGTTTTGCTCCTATTGGCCAGGCTGGAGTGCAATGGCACGATCTTGACTCACTGCAACCTCCACCTCTCAGGTTCAAGCGATTCTCCTGCCTCAGCCTCCTGCATAGCTGGGATTACAGGCGACTGCCACCACAGCCAGGTAATGTTTGTATTTTTAGTAGAGATGAGGTTTTGCCATCTTGGCCAGGCTGGTCTCAAACTCCTGATCTCATGTGATCCGCCTGTATCAGACTGCCAAAGTGTTGGGATTACAGGCGTGAGCCACCACACCCAGCCTTTTGTATTTTTAGTAGAGATGGGGTTTCACCATGTTGGTCAGGCTGGTCTTAAACTCCTGACCTCAGGTGATCCATCCACCTCGGCCACCCAAAGTGCTGGGAGTACAGATGTTAGCCACCGTACCCAGCGAGAGTTTCAGTGCTCTATCGGATTCCCTGCCTACTCCATGTTGCATGTAATGTTCCACCTCAGGGATGTTTCTCTCCTTTCTGTCTCCTTCCTCTTCTCCTTCTCCTTTTTTCTTTCTAATTTTTATTTTTTTGAGACAGAGCCTTGCTCTGTTACCCAGGCTAGAGTACAGTGGCACGATCCCAGCTCACTGCAACCTCTGCCTCCTGGGTTCAAGAGATTCTCCTGACTCAGCCTCTCAAGTAGCTGGGATTACAGGCACCCGCCATCACACCCAGCTAGTTTTTGTATTTTTAGTAGAGACGAGGTTTCACCATGTTGGCCAGACTGGTCTTGAACTCCTGCCCTCAGGTAATCCACCCGCCTGTGGCCCCCCAAAGTGCTGGGATTACAGGCGTGAGTCACCACTCCCAGCCCTGAATGATCTTTCCTCTTTAGTGTGTTCTCACAACCACCTCTCACTGAGCTTTCTTGTTTTTTGTTTTTGTTTTTGTTTTTGTTTTTGTTTTTGGCAGAGTCTGGCTTTGTTGCCTATGCTGGAGTGCAGTGGTGCAATCTCAGCTCACTGCAACCTCCGTCTCCTGGGTTCAAGCGATTCTCCCACCTCAGCCTCCTGAGTAGCTGGGATTACAGGCACCCACCACCACACCCAGCTAATTTTTGCATTTTTAGTAGACACAGGGTTTCACCATGTTGGTCAGGCTGGTCTCGAACTCCTGACCTTGTGATCTGCCAGCCTCAGCCTCCCAAAGTGCTGGAATTACAGGCATGAGCCACCACTCCCAGCCCTGGATTATCTTTCCTCTTTAGTGTGTTCTCACAACTACCTCTCACTGCTGGGTTTTCTCTCTTTCTTTTTTTTTTTTTTTTTTTTTTTTTTTGAGACAGTCCGGCTTTGTTGCCCAGGCTGGAGTGCAGTGGCGCGATCTCGGCTCACTGCAAGCTCCACCTCCCAGGTTCAAGCGATTCTCCCACCTCAGCCTCCCTAGTAGCTGGGATTACAGGCGCATGCCAGCACACCCAGCTAGTTTTTGTATTTTTAGTAGAGACAGGGGTTTCACCATGTTGGTCAGGCTGGTCTTGAACTCCTGACCTTGTGATCTTCCTGCCTCGGCCTCCCAAAGTGCTGGGATTACAGGTGTAAGCCACTGCACCCAGCCAGCTTTCTCATTCTTATCCCTTAGTTCTCTGCCAGGGAATAAGATAGAAACCATTCCCTCAACCACATTCTAGTCATGGTCCCTATTCTCATGTTTCCACTTCTCTCTCTTTGGTAATAAATCAATTAATTGAGAAACAAGTAGCTAAATGTTCATCTTCTGCTAGTCTGCATCCCCTTATTTTCCCAGAGCCTCCCCTAATGAAACTGACTTTATTTACTGAACGCAGGAAATGGGTCTCTCCAGATCAGGATGACTTTCTGCTGGGAAATATTTGTCTTTGCATCAGTGGGGAAAAAGAAAGCCGATGTCATGAGTGGAGGCTCTGAGAAAATAAGGGCTGTGTTTTCAGTTTAGACCCAGCTAAGTTGGGAGCTGACATAGATATGATGTTGGGTCCACCCTCCACGGGCAGGTTTTCAGACAAAGGATCCCTGGCAATCAGGGGACACCTCAGGTCTGGGCTGAGATGTGTGCAGAGGGCCTGGGTCCTCCTGAGCCCCTGCACTGGGGGGGGAATAAGAGACAGGCCCAGCAAGGGGCTGTCCACTTCCTGTGGGTTCACAGCTGTGGGGACCCAGGCAGGCGGCAGCAGGCTCTGACTTAACCACATCCGTGCATCTGTCTGTCATGGAGGGCCATGTGGTCACCTGTCCCACAGCTGGAGCACGCAGAGCAGGCATCATGGTGTCCATCCTCACTGTTCTTCTGTGCCTCAGTCAGTGGTGGAGAGACGAGGGACAGGAGGGGCACTGGGCTGAGGTGGGGAGGGTCCCACAGCAGCCTTGTTCACCAGAGAGCCTCAGGGCTCCAGTGGCTACTGGTGCTCCAACAGGAAGGGAAGCAGCCACACCTCTGTGTTCCAAATCCCCCACAGGAAACTCTTCTCCATGGCTGAGTCTGGGCCAGAAAGCCCAAGCACTTGCAGGTGAGTCTCTGCTAACCTCCCATGCCTGACCTCACACTCAGCACCTGGACTCTCATCTCAGGGGCTTCTGAACTGAGGGTGAGAAAATCAAGAGGGTCTGTGACCTGAGCTGGGAATGAGGAGCGGGGGAGGTCTGTGGACCCCAGCCTGTGGTTTCTTCCAGGGACCCTCCCCAAACCCAGCCTCTGGGCTGAGCCAGGCTCTGTGATTACCTGGGAGAGCCCCATGACCCTCTGGTGCCAGGGGACCCTGGATACCCAGGGTTACTATCTCACCAAGGAAGGAAACCCCATGACCTGGTACCAACAGAGCCCACCAGAGCCCAGGAACAAGACCAACTTCTTCATCCCATCCATGAGAGAGCACCATGCAGGGAGATACCACTGTCACTATCTCAGCCCTGCAGGCTGGTCAGAGCGCAGCGAGCCCCTGGAGCTGGTGGTGACAGGTAAGAGGACACTCAGGGGTCCCAGCCCCAGGCTCTGCCTGCAGGAAGGGGGTCAGCTCTCAAGGGCATCTCCGTTCTAATAACTCAGCCCTGGGGGATGATGTGGGACGCGTGAGCCCCATTTAAGACAGTGTCTCCTTCTCTCCTAGGAGCCCACAGAAAACCCACTCTCTCAGCCCTGCCGAGCCCTGTGGTGACCTCAGGAGAGAACGTGACCATCCAGTGTAGCTCAAGGGTGGGATTTCACAGGTTCATTTTGATTGAGGAAGGAGAAAACAAGCTCTCCTGGATGCTGGACTCACAGGAACTCTCCAAGGGGCTGTCCCTTGTCCCTGGCCCTGTTCCCTGTGGGCCGTGTGGCTGCCAGTCACCGGTGGATGTTCAGATGCTATGGGCATTACACGAACTTCCCCTGGGTGTGGTCGGAACCCAGTGATACCATGGAGATCCTGGTCTTAGGTATGGATGTCTTCCTCCTTGCCCTATTTATTTTTGAGAACTTACTCTCACGGAGCCCCATGTAGGAGGGTGGAACAAGGGAAGTTTGGGACTCCTGAGCCCAGAGACACTGAGTGTGAGAGACAGTGAGACCTGCAGGGCCAGGAGGGGAGAAGGAAGGGGTGTGGGAGGAACCAGCCCTCCTAGTCCCGACTCTTCTTTCCCTCCAGGCGTGTCTAGGAAGCCCTCCCTCCTGACCCTGCAGGGCCCTGTCGTGGCCCCTGGGGAGAATCTGACCCTCCAGTGTGGCTCTGATGTCGGCTATGACAAATTCACTCTGTACAAGGAGGGGGGACATGACCTCGTCCAGGGCTCTGGCCGGCAGCCCCAGGCTGGGCTCTCCCAGGCCAACTTCACCCTGGGCCCTGTGAGGGTCTCCCACGGGGGCCAGTACAGATGCTACGGTGCACACAACCTCTCCTCCGAGTGGTCGGCCCCCAGTGACCCCCTGAGCATCCTGATCGCAGGTGAGGAGCCCAGCAGGTTCAGTCAGGGACCCAGGCTCCGCACAGGCCCTGCTGGGGGAGCCCAGGTGGTGATGGCCGGGATGAGGGGTGGGGGTCCTAAGGGACGGAGAGACAGACAGAGACAGGGGATGGGCGGGGAGGGGGAGACTCAGAGAAAACAGAGACAGAGACACTGAGGGTCCCAGGGAGAGGCCTGGGGAGGTGTCAGCTCAGAACGAGGTGGGGCAGCCCCTCACCCATCCTTCTTCTCTCCAGGACAGATCCGTGGCAGACCCTCCCTCTCGGTGCAGCCGGGCCCCACGGTGGCCTCAGGAGAGAACGTGACCCTGCTGTGTCAGTCACGGGAGCAGTTGGACACTTTCCTTCTGACCAAGGAGGGGGCAGCCCATCACCCACTGCGTCTGAGATCAGAGCACCAAGCTCAGCAGCACCAGGCTGAATTCCCCATGAGTCCTGTGACCTCAGCCCACGCGGGGACCTACAGGTGCTACAGCTCACGCAGATTCTTCCCCTACCTGCTGTCTCACCCCAGTGACCCCCTGGAGCTCGTGGTCTCAGGTGAGGCCGCTGACCCTGTCCTCTCTGAGCTCAAACCTCAGCTCAGGCCCTGCCCCCAGGAGAGCTCAGGACGCTAAGGAAAGAGGGGAGTAAAGGGGGAGGGTCGGCAGGGGAGGGCCCAGCCCATGAGAGGGTGGAAATAGTCAGGGACCTCCTAATCCTGGGCTCCCACCCCAGAGACCTCAGATGGGGCTAAAGGCCAGGGAGGGCTGAAATGAGATATGGAGAAACCTTGGAGGAATCATGCTTAGGCTGAGGGTAGAAGATGGAGGCGCCACCCACTCCCCACCTGGGCTCCCCTGGCGGCCCCAAAATACTCAGTGCATACCTGAGACGAAGGGGAGATCATGCACCTGCTCACTGCAGCAATGCAGGCAAATTATTCAACAGCAAACCTCGTGTGCAATTCCTTTCTGTCCTTTATTTTTTATGTCCACATATCTAGTTTCTCTTTCTGTTTCTGAAGATTTCAAAGCAATGCTGGCATTTATAATTTACACATTTAATTTGTTAGGTAGCGTTATGATGTAAAATAACTGTGCTCTGATTTTCTTTGGGATTAAATTAAATATGTGCATTCATGATGGAGAATAACTTCTCATTAATAATGTCTTTTTATCCAATACATTTAAAATTAAACTTTATACAGTTAGCAGATGCTTGAAGTTGTATTCATAAAAATTGTGGACATTGTGAATTTTAAGCATTGTTTTACTACTTGAATAATTTGAAAGTCTTTGATTCCTTTCTATTTTCTAAAATTAGTTACGTATGGATGAGAAAGCTATTGGTTTGGGTATGCTAATTTTAGTTCCTATTAACTTACCACAGACACACTCCCTTTCAATCCTTTCCGAAATGATCTCTTCTGATTTATTGATAATAATTACATTAACCACAAGAAAATGGAGGACAAACTTGTTTGTTTCTAAATTATATAATACTCTTCTCACTTCAAATATATATGTATGTGTTTATATATACTCACACACTATTATATATCTTATAATATATATTATGTATTATATATTTATATATACACTATTATATATCTTATATATTATGTATTATATATTTATATATACCCACACATTATTATATCTTATAATATATATTATGTATTATATATTTATATATACCCACACATTATTATATCTTATAATATATATTATGTATTATATATTTATATATGCACTATTATATATCTTATATGTTATGTATTATATATTTATATTACCCACACATTATTATATCTTATAATATATATTATGTATTATATATTTATATATACACACACTATTATATATCTTATTATATATTATGTACTATATATTTATATATACTATTATATATCTTATAATATATAATGTATTATATATTTATATATACACACACTATTATATATCTTATATATTATGTATTATATATTTATATATACATACTATTATATATCTTATAATATATTATGTATTATATATTTATATATATACACTATTATATATCTTATTATATATTATATATTTATATATGCACACACTATTACATATCTTATTATATATTTATATGTATACACACACTATTATATATCTTATTATATATTATGTACTATATATTTATATATACTATTATATATCTTATAATATATAATGTATTATATATTTATATATACACACACTATTATATATCTTATATATTATGTATTATATATTTATATATACATACTATTATATATCTTATAATATATTATGTATTATATATTTATATATACACACTATTATATATCTTATTATATATTATATATTTATATATGTACACACTATTACATATCTTATTATATATTTATATGTATACACACACTATTATATATCTTATATATTATATATTTATATATACTCACACTATATCTTATAATACATATTATGCATACACATATGCATAATACATATTATCTATACACATATGCATAATACATATTATGTATACACATATGCATAACACATATTATGTATACACACATATTTACACCTATGCATATATGTATGTATGTATGCGAATGTACCTCTGCCACAGCAGGGAAAGGTTCTATCACACAACTACAGAGCAGTTAGGAGAAGTGTAGACACAAAGGAATGCAGCAACTGAGGGACATGTTGGCTTAAGTCTCTTCAACTCCTCACACACCTCCCCCTTTTTTGGTTGATTCTCAGGAGCAGCTGAGACCCTCAGCCCATCGCAAAACAAGACAGACTCCAAGACTGGTGTGTAAGGAGATGCTCTCGGTTATGGGGCTGGCACAGAGGGTCAGGTCCTGTGAAGGGGAGGTGGGTGCCCTGGGTGGACATCCAGGGGTCCCGGGTGATGTTGATCTGCCCTGACCTCTGAGACCTCTTGGTCCACCATCCCCAGCCTCACACCCCCAGGATTACACAGTGGAGAATCTCATCCGCGTGGCTGTGGCTGGCTTGGTCCTGGTGGTCCTCGGGATTCTGCTGCTTTAGGATTGGCACAGCTAGAGAAGTCCCCAAGATGCAGCAAGGAGGTAAATACATGAGAGAACAATGCACCCTTCAGAGTGCCAGAGCCTTGGCAATGAGTCTGATAGTCCTAGGAGGTTCTGGAAGAAAGTCTGGACCATCATTCGGGAAACCGTCTACTGAGAAAGTCGAGAAGGGGAGGCTTGGGTCAGGTTCAGGGAGATGTCTGGGTGCCTGTAGAGAACGCTTCCTCCATTAAACTTCCATTAAATGGCAGTGCTTTCAGTCCTGCTGTTGTGGATCCTCCGTGTCTGCCCCTCCCTTCCTTTCGCTCTCTGTGATGTGAAGGCACGTCCCCCATGGTGGGTTTGCATCCACACCCCTGCGATCACGTGCTCTGGTCCACTGTCCTGTAATACATTTGTCTTTGTTTCCAACTACCGCATTCTCTAAAGTGAACTATTGATTCTCCATCTTTTCAGTTCTGAGCATAGATCTGGATTAAATAACTGGAATAGGTGGGCAGATTTGTATTTGGGACTTTGAAACATGAGTCTGAGGCCAGGCACAGTGGCTCACACCTGTAATCCCAGCACTTTGGGAGGCTGAGGTGGGCGGATCACTTGAGGTCAGAAGTTCGAGACCAACCTGGCCAACATGGTGAAACCCTGTCTCTACTAAAAGATACAAAAATTAGCTGGGTGTGGCAGTGAGCACCTGTAATCCCAGCTGCTCAGGAAGCTGAGGTGGGAGAATAGCTTGAACCCGGGAGGCGGAGGTTGCAGTGAGCCAAGATCTTGCCACTGCACTCCAGCCTGGGCAACAGAGCAAGACTCTATCTCCAAAAAAAAAAAAAAAAAGGGAAATATGAGTCTGAAATGATGCCCTAGCACCCTCTCTGGACCCTGAATTCCCTTCACTCTTCATCGGATGATACCTGTGTACTTCGTCCAGAAATATCATCTCTCAGAATGAGCACACTAACGCTCGAAGGCTCAGCCTCATGGTATTCTGTTAAACTGGCTCTCTGAAAAAATTATTTTCTTAAGAAAACTCTGAACATATAAAGCCCCAGATTTATGGTATTTGCTGATTAGTGTGGTATAAATACGTCCTTTATGGCCAACTTCAGGGTGCCCATATGACGCCATTGAATGCACAGTTGGGAAGTAGTCAAAAGAATTGTCGTTCACACGAGTATGAACCAGTTGTAAAGTTTATTTAAAGGTTATAATAATTTCTGCTTCATTCTTATGGTGTAGTTTCAGTAAAATTGTAATGTCAAAAATCATAGCACAATGGAGGGAAAAGAAAAAAATAGGCCGGGTGTGGTGGCTCATGCCTGTAATCCCAACACTTTGGGAGGCCGAGGCAGGAGGATCACCTGAGGTCAGGAGTTCGAGACCAGCCTGGCCAACATGGTGAAACCCTGTCTCTACTAAAAATACAAAAATTAGCCAGACATGGTGGCGCCTGCCTGTTAATCCCAGCTACTTGGGAGGCCAAGGCACGAGAATCGCATGAACCCAGGAGGCGGAGGTTGCAGTGAGCCGAGATCACTACAGCCTGGGTGATAGAGCAAGACTCAGTCTCAATAAAAGAAAAAAGTAGCAAAATCATTTTTTGGAAAGAATATTGAACATGTAGAATTTTAGTACATTAATAGTAAGAGTACAAATTGCTTTAATCAATTAAGGAAGTGTATTGGAATTATCTAGTTAAAAAGAGGAGGCACACGGCTGTGACCCTTCTTAATTATGTACTTAATTATGTACCCTAGAGATAAATGTCTACTTATGTGTCATGATACACTCACAACTGTTATAGGAATGCTGTTCCTATTAGCCAAAGCTATAAAATACCAAAGTCCACCTACGAAAAAAATAAACATAGTGTGGTAAATAGACTCAGTGGAATATTACAAGGTAGTAAAATGCATAAATGAAAATAACAAACAGCACCATACTTCAATTTTCAAGCATAAAGTCAAGTAAATGAAGTATTATTTGAAAATGTGTGCATGGTTATTTCATTACATAAAGGTCAAAAGGAGGGTACATTTATTATTTAGGAAAACACACCTAAGATATCTTTGTAAAATCTGTAAAATCAATAGTACTGTTTCCCCTCTTTCATTCCTTATCTTGAAAATGCTTGTCTCTTTTTCTGCCATGGCTTTCTACCTTGCTTGATATATTACAATTTTGTAACCTGCTTATTTCATCATATGTCATAAGTTCACATGTATATCCCATGAATTATTGAGGGTCTTATTCATTTCAAGTGGCATTTAGGTTTTTAAAAATATCTTTTGGCGACCAGGTGCAGTGGCTCATGCCTGTAATCCCAGCACTTTGGGAAGCCAAGGCAGGTGGATCACGAGTTCAAGAGACAGAGATCATCCTGGCAAACATGGTGAAACCCCGTCTCTACTAAAAATACAAAAAAAAAAAAAATTAGCTGGGCATGGTAGAGGGTGCCTGTAGTCCCAGCTTCTCAGGAGGCTGAGGCGGGAGAATGGCGTGAACCCGAGAGACGGAGGTTGCAGTGAGCCGAGATCGTGCCACTGCACTCCAGCCTGGCAACAGAGTGAGACTCTGTCTCAAAAAAAAAAAAAAAGAAAGAAAGAAAGGAAGAAAAAAAAATCTTCTGGCATTAACTATTAAGAAATTGCACTATAAAAAGAGAATATAATGCATAAGACGGCAATTTGAAAAGATTCAGATATAATTTTTTCTTATCTAGTAAATACTTAGTAATTTGTCTAATGCATGCCTTAAATACATACCACTTTATGCAGAGGTTGCCATGAGCCGAGATCGCGCCGTTGCACTCTAGCCTGGGTGGCAGAGCAAGACTCCATCTCAAAAAAAAAAAAGAAAATCTCACAGAAGGAGACCCAGAGCTTCCAGCCTCGCCCAGAGTCTTGGCTCACTCCCTGTGTGTGTGGACCCTAGGGAGCCTCTTCTGTTCCCCACAGAGGTGGAAACTTCCTCCTTAATAACCCCTTGATGGTCCCAGGCACTGGTGACCACTGAGCTTTGCTCTCTCTTTTTTCTTATGGTTCCCTGTCTACTTCCAGGGCTATCACTTTACTTTTTGTGCATTAGACCATGAATAATGTTTTAGAAACATTCTATCAAATTTCTCAGTACTAGGAACAACTGAGGTTTTTGATTGGGTGCCTCAAATGTCTACCCTTACTGTGGAGTCCAACAACAGGATTCTAACAAGTCCCAACCCCTTCATGCCTTAACCTGGTCTGGAAATAAATTATGTTTAAGCCATCCCATACCCCAGCCACATCAAGCCCCACAACCACTCTGAGAAGTGAGATTTATAGCAAAATGCTCCAAACAAGGTAACTAAGGTTCAGACAAGGGATGTTAATGTGTCCATTTACATAAACAAAAAATGGTAGATGATCAGCTTTCCCTTTGAAATCAGAGTACTAATCTGACTCATTGTTCCCTGAATTTTAGAGGCAGGACCTCAGGAGGAGCTAAGAATCCTACCCCAGGAAAATTACCAATATCAGAAAGGAAACAATGACATCAGTACAGATCCTACAGAATTCAAAAGATTCTAAGTGGACATTATGAAGACATTATTCAGCTTAGATGAAGTGGTCACATATCACAAGAAAACAAACTGTCTAAAACAATCTCTGAAATACCTAGACATTCCCTGAATCATTGAGTTATTAAATAAAATACATTTTAAAATTAAACTCTTTTCAGGAAATAAACTTCAATGTCCCCTAGTGCACTCTCCAAAACATGTAGATAGGAATAAATACTGTTCTGAAAGACATTTCCCTGGAATTACAACCATTCAATATATTTTAAAAGGCAATCATAAAAATATAAAAAGGATATATCAGGAGAAGAAATGTAAATGGCCTAAATTCCCCACATAAAAGGCATAGAGTGGCAACGTGGATAAAAAGCCAAGAGCCAACTGCCTGCTGTCTTCAAGAGACCCATCTCACATGTAATGACACCCACAGGCTCAAAGTAAAAGGATGAAGAAATATTTACTAGGCAACCAGGAAACAAAAAAAAGGAAGGCATTCCTATTCTTATATCACATGAAACACACTTTAAATCAACAGCAATCAGGAAGGACAAAGAAGGGCATTACAAAATGATAAAGGGTTCAATTTGACAGAAGACTTAACTATTCTAAATATATATGCACCCAAATTTGGAGCACTCCGATTCATAAAACAAGTTATTCTTCACCTATGAAAAGAGTTAGACAGCCACACAATAATAGTAAGGGACTTCAGTATCCCACTAACAACGTCAGATGAATCACTAAAACAGAAAACTAACAAAGAAATTCTGGTCTTAAAGACAACACTTGACCAATTGGACCTCATAGACATCTACAGAGTACTCCACCCAACAACTGCAGAATATAGATTCTTCTTATCTGCACACACAAAAAACATATCATATTCTAAGACTGGCCACAAAGCAAGTCTCAATAAATTCAAAGAATCAAAATCATAACAAGGCACACAATAAAAATAGAAAAAAATACCAAGATGATCTCTCAAAACTACAGAAAAACATGGAAATTTAACAACTTGTTTCTGAATGAATATTAAGAGCCATCTATGACAAATCCACAGCCAACATCATATTGAATGGTCAAAAGCTGGAACTGTACCCCTTGAGAACTCTTGGGTGAACAATGAAATTAAAGCAGAAATCACAAAACATTATTTAAAATTAATAAAAATAGAAACAAACTTACCAAAACCTTTGGGATGCAGTTAAAGCAGTGATAAGAGGAAAATTTATAGCAATACATGCCTCATCAGAAGTTTAGAAAGATCTCAAATTAGTGACTTAACACTGCATCTAGAGGAACTATTAAAAAAAAGGAACAGTCCAAACCCAAGGCCAGCAAAAGATGAGAAATAACTAAAGTCAGAGAGAACTGAATAAATTGAGACCAAAAAGTCCATACAAGAGATAAATAAAACCAAGAGTTTTTCTTTGAAAAAAAATAAACAAAATTCATAGACTGTTAGCTAGATTAACAAAGAAAAAGAGAAAAGATCCAAATAAACACAAATAGAACTGACAAAACAATGTTACGAACAATCCCACAGAAATAGAAAAGATCGTCAAAGACTATTATGAACACCTCTATACAAACAAGCTAGAAAACCTAGAAGAAATGGATAAATTCCTGGTAACACAAAATTTATCATATTTCAACCAGGAAGAAAGTGAAAACCTGAACAGACCAATAACAAGTTCAGAAATTTAATCAGTAATAAAAACCCTACTAACTAAAAATAGCCCAGGACCAGACGGATTCACAGCCAAAATCCAACAGCCATACAAAGAAGAACTGATACCGATCTTACTGAAACTTTTGGAAAAAATCAAGGAGTGGGGGCTTCTTCCTAACTCATTCTATGAAGCCATCATCACCATGATACCAACATCTGTCAGAGACATAATGAAAAAAAGAAAACTACAACTAAATATCCTTAATGAACATAGACATAAAATCCTCAACAAAATGCTAGCAAATTGAATCTGTCAGTGCATCAAAAGTTAATTCACATGATCAAGTAAGCTTTATTTTTGGGATGCAAGGTTGGTTCAACCTACAAAGTCAACGAATGTGATTCACCTCATAAACATAATTAAAAACAAAAACTATATGATCATCTCAATAGATGCAAAAAAAGCTTTCTGTAAAATCCAACATCCCTTCATGATAAAAACTGTCAATAGGCATCAAAGGAACATACCTCAAAATATTAAGAGCCATCTATGACAAACCCACAGCCAACATCATATTGATGGGCAAAAGCTGGAACCATACCCCTTGAGAACCGAAACAAGACCAAGATGACCACTCCCGCCATTTTAATTCAACATGGTACTGGAAGTCCTAGCCAAAGCAATCAGGCAAGAGAAGGAAATAAAAGGCATTAAAATTGGAAAAGAAGTAGTGATACTGTCTCTCTTTGCTGATGAAATAATTTTATACATAGAAAACCCTAAAGACTCTGTCAGAAGGCTCCTGAAACTGATAAACAAATTCAATAAAGTTTCGGGATTAAAAAAATGTACACAAATTAGTAACATTTCTATGCACCACTAACATTCTAGCTGAGAACTAAATCAAGAACACAATTCCATTTACACTAGCCACAAAGAAAATAAAATACCTAGGAATCCATCTAACCAAGAAGGTGAAAATTCTCTACAAGGAGAACTACAAAACACTTCTGAAAGAAATAAGAAATGATACAAACAAATGGAAGAATATTCCATGCTCATGAATTAGGAGAACAAATAGTTAAAATCGCCATACTTCCAAAAACAAATTGCAGAGTCAATGCTATCCATTTCAAAATGCAATGTCATTTTTCACGAAATTATAAAAATTTATTCTAAAATGTATTTGGCACCAAAAAAAGAGCCTGAATACACATAGGAATCCTAAGCACAAAGAACAAAGCCCAGGCATCACATTACCCAACTTCAAACTATACTACAATGCTATAGTAACCCAAACAGCATGATACTACTACAAAAACAGACACATAGACCAATGAGACAGAATAGAGAACCCAGAAATGAGGCTACATACCTACAATCATCTTTGAAAAAATTGACAAAAACAAGCAATGTGGAAAGTACCCTTTCTTCAATAAATAGTTCTGGGATAACTGACTACTCATATGCAAAATAATAGAACTGGACCCCTAACTCTCACTATATACAAAAATTAACCCAAGATAGTTTAAAGATTTAAATGTAAAACCTCAAAATATTAAAATTCTAGAAGAAAACCTAGGAAATATCCTTCTCAAGATAGACTTTGGCAAAGAATTTATGGCTAACTCCCCAAAACCAATTGTGACAAAGACAGAAATTGGGACCTAACTCAACTGAAGAGCTTCTGCACAGCAAACGAAAGTATCAACAGAGTAAACAGATAACCTACAGACTGGGAGAAAATATTTGCAAACTATGCATCTGACAAAGTTCTAATATCCAGAATCTATAAGGAATGTAAACAAATCAACAAGCAGAAAACCAAAAAACCTCAATTAAGTATGACATGAACAGACACTTCTCAAAAGAAGATGTACACATGGCCAAAAAACATATGAACAAATGCTTATTATCAGTAATCATCAGAGAAATGCAAATTAAAACCACAGTGAGATACCATCTCACAACAATCAGAGAAGCAGAAGCAATTACTAAAAAGTTTTTTGTTTTTTTTAATAACAGATGCTGACAAGATTGTGGAGAAAAGGGAACACTTATACACTCTTGGTGGGAATGTTAACTAGTTCAGCCAATGTGATAAGCAGTTTGGAGACTTCTCAAATAACTTAAAATAGAACTACTATTCAATCAAGCAATCCCACTACTGGGTATATACCAAAAGGAAGGTAATTAACTATGTCAAAAAGACACATGCACTAGTATATTCATTGCTGTGCAATTCAGAATAGCAAAGATTTGCAGTCAACCTAAGTGCTCACCAACAGTGGATTAGTTAAAGAAAATGTGCTACATATACACATGGAACATTACATGGCCATAAAAAATAATGAAATCATGTCCTTTGCAGCAACATGAATGTAGCAGGAGGTCAATCTCCTAAGTGAACTAACCCAGGAACAGAAAACCAAATACCACATGTTATCACTTATAACTGAGAACCAAACATTGAATACACATGAACATAAAGATGGAAACAACAGATACCGAGGACTACAGATGGGGGGAGGAGTAGGGAGGTATAGGCTGAAGAAACACCTGTTGGATTCTATGCTCATTGCCTGGGTGATGGCATTGTTGGAACCACAAACCTCAGAGTCACACAATATGCCTATGTAACAAACCTGCATGCATACCTTTAATCTACAGTAAAGGTTGAAGTTATTTAAAAATAGGAAGAAGAATTACCCTATACCTAAAGCTAAGATTTTTCCCTTTGAATATTCGTTTCTTCATCACTGTAGATAAGCAGGGAAAGAAAAATTATTATACTATACTAGCCTTTTATGTGACCATGAGGATTTGGGGTAGGTAGGTGGACAGCTTAGATAATTCACCAGGATATTGATACAGGCTCCATGGCTGGAAATAACCAAGGATGAGTGCTGTGTTTTGAGTGGTCTCCCCCAGAAACGTTTGTTGAAATCCTAACCCCTGGTATGTATGAATGTGAATTCATATTATATAAAAAGGAATAAATAGCCTGAGCACAGTGGCTCACACCTGTAATCCCAGCACTTTGGGAGGCCAAAGCAGGTGGATCATTTGAGGTCAGGAGTTCTGGCCAATATGGCAAAACTTCATCTCTACAAAAAAAAAATACAAAAAAAAAAATTGGCTGGGTATGGTGGCGCATGCCTGTAGTCCCAGCTACTCAGGAGGCTGAGGCAGGAATTGCTGAAACCTGGAAGGCAGAGGTTGCAGTGAGCCAAGATCATGCCACTGCACTCCAGCCTGGGTGAGACGGCAAGATATTCTGTCAAAAATAAATAAATAAAAAACAGAAGAAGAAATACAAGAATGACAGCAAACTTTGTATTCAAAACTATGAAAGTAAGAAACAGGTGGACCAACATTTTTAAAGTGCTACAAGAAAATATTTCAAACTAGAATCTTTCAACCTGAAAAGGAAAACATTTTCCTGCAATAAAGGTGCCATTAAAAATGTCTCACAATTTATTACATGAAGCATTGTTCTACAATAAATGTTAAGCTCTTGAAGCAAAGATTAATGATACCATTTAGTAACTTGAAATTCAAAAAAGTGGAAGTATCCCAAGAGGCAAATACGTGTGCAATTATTAAATGTTTCATATCAACACCCAACCTTATGCTGTCTACATAAGCTGCACTTCAAATACTAATCCACAAGATGTAAATATTGAAAGAATGACATTACCTTGTCATGATAATGCCCAGTGCAAAATATGCTTCTAGTCAGTTGTATACATAGAATAGGTAAATGTTTGTAATAAAAAGTATTCCTCAATAGAAGTTTCTTAACTCAAAGAATGAAATATTTCACCATGCACATACAAAGAAGAGATATATGGAGATATGAAGAGGAGTACTTCATAATGACAAAGAGGCAAATTCATAAATAAGACATAATCATCCTAAATGCCTACACACTTAAAGCTGGAACCTCAAAACACATTAAATTAAAGGCATAATTCAAAACATAATCAATCACATCCAAATTGCAGCTAGAGATAGCAACATTCACCTCACTTCCAGAACAAGTACACAGAAAATTATTAAGCATATGAAAGACTTGAAAAACATTTGTGTAGGCGGCGGGTGCATAAGGTTGGGTGTTGATATGAAACATTTAATAATTTCAATAATCCTAGCACTTTGGGAGGCCAAAATGGGAGGATCACTTGAGGCCAGGAGTTTGAGACCAGCCTGGGCACCATAGTGAGACCCCGTCTCTATTTTTTTTAAATAAAGAAAAACATTTGAATGATTTTTTTCTTAACTGACATTTAGAAAACATCCACCTCAAATCTTCCTAATCCACAAACTTGTCTAGCACCCCTGGAACATTCACCAAAATAAATTTTTAAATGCTGAATCATAGGTAATATGATAGATGAAACAGTTGAATTAAATTATAAATGTACAACAAGGAAATGCTGGGGAAATTATCAAATATTTTAAAATTAATAAACACACATAGCAATAAACAATGAGTGGAAGAAAAACATTTCAAAGAAAGGTGGAAAATATTTTGTATCAATTAAAAATGAAAACACATCTCGGCAAATGACTGGGGATACAGATAGAACAGCGTTAAGGGACAATAAGCCTCAAATGTCTGTGTTAGAAAAGAAGGAAGAGCTGAGTAAATAGGTAACTTTCACTTGCAGAAATACTACACATCAGCAAATTAATTCCAAAGTAACGTCGAGGAAAAACATAAAATGGCAAGCAAATATATACGTGCATATGTACATACATTCATAAATGACAAACAGGACAGAAAAATCAGTGACATCAATTTTGTTCCTTAGAAGAAACAGGAAAATTGACCCCAAAAAACTTTCCAGGCCACATTTGGTCATGATGGAAATATTTTGGCACTTCCTGGTTAAGCTCAACACCAACTTGCACCCAAAACCAATAATTTCATTTCTAGGTAAATATGTCTAATTAATTCAGCATATGTATGCAAGGGATCACACAGAAACACGATTATCAAGGCCCGAGTTATAAAAGAGAAAATCCGGAAACAACACAAATGTCCATGATAAAAAGAATGGATAATTACATGTTGATAAAGTTATGCATGGACTATTAAACTGCAATCCAAAAGAATAAAATAGAGCTATAAAATTCAATATGTATATGGTGTCATAGAAACACAAATGTGAGAAAAAGAAAGAAAAATACAAAATTTATATTTTTTAAAATTTGAAACAACTATATATGTGAGTGCTTAGGGTGTGTGTGTGTGTGTGTGTGTGTGTGTATAACCATATGTATATAAATGCACACATACGCACACATATAGAATGTCCCGGCCAGGCATGGTGGCTCACACCTGTAATCTCAGCACTTTGGGAGGCTGAAGTAGACAGATCACTTGAGGTTAGGAGTTCAAGACCAGCCTGGCCAACATGGAGAAACCTCCTCTCTACTAAAAGTACAAAAATTAGGTGGGCGTGGTGGTGGGTGCCTGTAAATCCAGCTACTTAGGAGGCTGAGGCACGAGAATTGCGTGAACCTGGGAGGTGGAGGCTGCAATGAGCCGAGGTCTCACCACTGCATTCCAAACTGGGTGACGAAGTGAGATTGCATCTCAAAAAAAAAAAAAGTTCTAAAAGTTGTGACTTGGGTGTGGCAGATTGTGACATACTGCCAGCTGCTAGAAATGCTGGGGCAGGAGGATTGCTTGAACTCTGAAGTCAAAGAACAGCCTGGGGAAAATAGCACATGAAGAAGAGTTTGAATCTCAGATAAAAACAACAAAAATACATCAAAAGTCTTTAATGTAAGCCAAGCATTCAGTCATCTCCTGTATGAGAGATTGGATCTGAGACGTGTTTTGAGTTGGTTATAGTGAAGGATGCAAGGTGTCAATTCTAGTTGGAACAATTTCCAGGAAGCCATGTTCTGCTCTTGACCAAACAGCCACTGGGCCTCATGCAAGGTAGAAATAGCCTGCATACGTCATCCTCCCATGATGTGGTCAGCATGTAAACTGCATGAGCCCCTCACAACATCCTGTGTGCTGCTGAACTGAGCTGGGGCGCAGCCGCCTGTCTGCACCGGCAGCACCATGTCGCTCATGGTCGTCAGCATGGCGTGTGTTGGTGAGTCCTGGAAGGGAATCGAGGGAGGGAGCGGTGGGGTGGAGATCTGGGCCTGGAGTGGAGATATGGGCCTGGAGTGGAGATATGGGCCTGGAGTGGAGATATAGGCCTGGAGTGGAGATATGGGCCTGGGGTGGAGATATGGGCCTGGAGTGGAGATATGGGCCTGGAACTGTAGATATGGGCCTGAAGTAGAGATATGGGCCTGGAGTAGAGATATGGGCCTGGAACTGTAGATATGGGCCTGGAGTGGAGATATTGGCTTGGAGTGCAGATATGGACCTGGAATTGAGATACGGGCCTGGAGGTGGAGATATGGGCCTAGAGTGGAGATATGGGCCTGGAGGTGGAGATATGGGCCTGGAACTGTAGATATGGGCCTGGAGTAGAGATATGGGCCTGGAGTGGAGATGTTGGCTTGGAGTGCAGATATGGGCCTGGAATGGAGACACGGGCCTGGAGGTGGAGATACAGGCCTGGAGGTGGAGATATGGGCCTGGAGTGTAGATATGGGCCTGGAGTAGAGATATAGGACAGAGGTGGAGATATAGGCCTGGAGTGGAGATATGGGCCTGGAGTAGAGATATAGGACGGAAGTGGAGATATGGGCCTGGAGTGGAGATATGGGCCTGGAGGTGATGTACAGATGGATCATCCATCATGATCTTTCTTTCCAGGGTTCTTCTTGCTGGAGGGGCCCTGGCCACATGTGGGTGAGTCCTTCCCCCAAACCTTAGGTTGTCATCTCCCCACATAAGATGATGTTCCTGAAACGGGAGGCAGGCGACACAGGGGGTTGACTGATGGGCTGACCATGGGAAGCCATGTGGGAATCTCTCATGAACTAGGAAAAGGAAGCCAGGGGAAGCTTCGCCACAGTTCTGTCCTAGCCCTCCCCGGCCTTTCTTTCCCTTGGCTGAGTCTGTGGGGACCCAGGGGGAGACTGAAGTGCTCAAAGGAGTGGTGTGCAGGGAGGAAGTGGTGTCACCGGCAGAGGAAGGGAGAGAAGCAGTGCAAGGAACAACAGGCCTCTGAGGACAAGAGCATAACTCACACCCTCCAGCGTTTCCATGACGGTAGGGGCTGCAATGTGGCTGCTGTCATTCTACCTAAGAGGTGGGGGAACCACAGTCATGACCCTGACATTCCAGATCTTCTAATAGGGGCTCAGTTGTTTATTATGGTTCATGCATTAGCTGATCATGCCCTCCATCCTGTGTCTACCTTGTGTTCTTTTATGTAAGTAATTTTGCAGTGTTAAAATCTAGTAAGAGTCGCTTCTTCAGCACCTGCTCAAAGTTCTCAGCTGACACTTGCTGTAGGGAGACGCCATGTCTATGCGGGATGGGTCCTTCCTGTAGCCCTGGGCACCCAGGTGTGGTAGGAGCCTTAGAAACGTGGAAATGGGAGAATCTTCTGAGCACAGGGAGGGAGGGGCGGCTCCACATCCTCCTCTCTAAGGTAGTGCCTCCTTCTCCCCCAGGTGGTCAGGACAAGCCCTTCCTCTCTGCCTGGCCCGGCACTGTGGTGTCTGAAGGACAACATGTGACTCTTCAGTGTCGCTCTCGTCTTGGGTTTAACGAATTCAGTCTGTCCAAAGAAGACGGGATGCCTGTCCCTGAGCTCTACAACAGAATATTCCGGAACAGCTTTCTCATGGGCCCTGTGACCCCAGCACATGCAGGGACCTACAGATGTTGCAGTTCACACCCACACTCCCCCACTGGGTGGTCGGCACCCAGCAACCCTGTGGTGATCATGGTCACAGGTCAGAGGCTTTCTGTCTGGGCTTCTCACTGTCCCACCTCCTGAATCCCAGAGCTTCTGGTGGGGGTGTCCATCAGGGTCCAATCATCCAGGCCCAGACTGTATTTGGGGTAAAGGGGGATTCAGTACAGAGAAATAGTTGCTGTGGTGGGAAGAATAATTGTCCCCAGTGATGGCTACATGGTAATCCATGAACCCTGTGACTATTTATGTCATAGGGCAGGGGACTGAAGGGGAAGATGGAGCTCAGGTTGTTGATGGGTTGACCTTGCGATGGGGAGACAGCCTGGACTGTCCTGCTGTGCTCAGAGTAATCACAAGGGTCCTCATGAGAGGAGGAGGAAGAGGAAAGTGGGGTTAGAGCAACGTCGTGGGAGGGAGACTCCATCAGCCACAGCGGGCTTTGAAGATGGGGGAAGGCCATGAGCCACAAAGGCAGTTGGCCTCTAAGGGCTGGAGAAGTCAAGGGAACTGATTCTTCCCTGAGTCTCCAGAGGAAACACAGCCCTGTAGATGCCTTGATTTTAGCCCAGAGAGAACTGGGTCCGATTTCTGTTCTCCAGAAGTGGAAGGGGTCATTGTATTCTCTCCTGCCCCATGTTTGTGACAATTTTCTCCAGCAGCAACAGGAAACCAACACAGGAACCCAGGTGAAGCACAAGTTAAGAAACCAAACAAGGAGAAGGTTGGCTACACTGATTTTAGCATGGGTGGGATACTGATGCTACCACCAGGCTCGATCCACATAGGGAGGGGTTGATGCTCCTGGAACCAGCACCAGGGGCCACCCTATGGAAGCTGGGGCCATGGAGAAGGCACAGACATGACAGGAGAGGCTCCCAATCCCCATCAGGAACAGGGACACTGATGCCTGCCTTACTGATGAGTTCGTACCTCCTGCCAGCCTTTCCAATCTGTCCAAAAGAGATTGATTCAGGCTGCTAAGAGCCTGGACATGCAGCCTGTCGTGGTTCCTCTTCCACCCCCACATAAACACCAGGAAAGAGATTAGTGGGAAACAGATACAACAGCATAAGAGGTGACACTGAGCACAGTGGGAAGGGAATCAGGGCTACTAGAGACAGAGAGACAGGGAAGAGGGAGGGAGACAGATGGAGGGACCTGCAACAGGGGTTATGGGCACAAAAGAACACGGAGACACAGAGAGGAAGGAGAGAGATAGACACCATGGAGGGGAAGCCTCACTTATTTCAGGTCCCATGAATGGGATGAGAAAGGGAGACGCCTTCTGAACTCACAACCTCTCTTCTTAGGAGTCCACAGAAAACCTTCCCTCCTGGCCCACCCAGGTCCCCTGGTGAAATCGGGAGAGACGGTCATCCTGCAATGTTGGTCAGATGTCAGGTTTGAGCGCTTCCTTCTGCACAGAGAGGGGATCACTGAGGACCCCTTGCGCCTCATTGGACAGCTCCACGATGCGGGTTCCCAGGTCAACTATTCCATGGGTCCCATGACACCTGCCCTTGCAGGGACCTACAGATGCTTTGGTTCTGTCACTCACTTACCCTATGAGTTGTCGGCTCCCAGTGACCCTCTGGACATCGTGGTCGTAGGTGAGAGAATACAGACCTGCCTCTCACCCTTGCTGGGAGATGGAGTGAATGATCTAGGACTGGAAGCCCCAGGTGGTCATGAGGAAGATGAGTGTGGGGTTCCTATGGAGAGAAAGTGACTTGGTGAGGTCTGTACCAACAAAGGCAGAGAAACAGGAGACACAAGTACAGACCTCATGTCATAACATAGAAGCCAGACACAGGGGCCATACAAGGTGTTAGAAAAAGAGATAAAGAGGTAAAGAAGACACAGAGAGACAGATATATCCCAGAGAGAGGTGTCCTTCTATGCTGACTTTGTTCAGAGACCAGGCACAGGTTAGAAGGTTCCATTCTGTTTTACCTCTACAAAGTGTTCTCTCCCAGGAGAACCCAAAGAGACACATCTATCTGGCCTGAGTTGGGCCGTGTGGCCCCAGGCTGGTGGCACCTACAGATGCTGTGTTTATTCTTAAACCTCTGCCTTCCGTGCAGTGGAGCTGTCGTCGTCGCAGGACACCATGGCCCCAGGTGAGGGAGCAGAACACCAACCCCTGTATGTTGTGAGTTCCTGGAGTCCCCATACTGGATTCTGAGGCTCATATTCAAATAGCACCACATGTTATAGGATTACTGAGAACAAAAGCCCACAGAGAGACACGGAGTGAAATCAGGGAAATCAAAAAGCAAAGACATGAACACACACACAGAATGAGCCAGAAGAAGGGAATTGAGAGACTCACAGACACATAAAGAGATAGAAAAAGAGGGCAGAGAAGTGGAGCGTATGATGGAAGGAAGCAGAGAAAAGCCCTAAAATCAGAGCCCTGAGGGAGGGGCACAAAGACAGGGAAAGATAAAGATGTGGGGATGGATTGCAGAGACTCCAAAAGGGAACTAGAGAGACTGAGAGGCAGAGAAAGACAAGGAGATGGAGAGAGACAGATGATAGATGGATAGATAGATATAGATAGATGAAAGATAAAAGGTAGATGATAGATAATAGAGAGACAGGTGATAGACAAATAGATGATGAATGACTGATAGATGATATAGATAGACAAGTAGAAAGACAGACAGATGATATATAAATAGATATAGAGAGATAGAAAGATAAACACATGATGATAGATGGATAGATGCATACATACATACATTGATTGATAGATGATAGATAACAGAGAGATAGGTCATAGATACACAGATGATGATAGATGATAGATACATACATAGATAAATGATAGATCGATCAATAGATAGTAGATAGAAATATGCAGAAAGTTATGAGCAAGACAGAAAGTGAGAGACTCAGAATTAAAGAAAGAGGAAGATCAAGTCAACCAGTCCAAGGAGGGTCAGAGAGAATAAAATGGTACAAAAAAAGAAAACATAGCTAGGGATGGAGAAGTGAGGTCAGAGACCTAGAGAGACAGAGAAGGTGGAAGGAGGAAATAGACATGAAGAGAGATGGGGGTGGAGGGTGAGAGAGAGAAAGAGAGCATTAAGTCATAGAGCAGGGGAGTGAGTTCTCAGCTCAGGTGTGAGGAGAGCTGTGACAACGAAGAACCTCCCTGAGGAAACCACCTCTTCTCCTTCCAGGTCTATATGGGAAACCTTCTCTCTCAGCCCAGCCGGGCCCCACGGTT
The DNA here is from genome assembly GCF_000001405.40 of Homo sapiens. Taxonomy (NCBI): domain Eukaryota; kingdom Metazoa; phylum Chordata; class Mammalia; order Primates; family Hominidae; genus Homo; species Homo sapiens. Next base: position 455,563 of record NW_003571061.2, read on the forward strand.
CAGGCAGGAGAGAATGTGACCTTGTCCTGCAGCTCCCGGAGCTTGTTTGACATTTACCATCTATCCAGGGAGGCAGAGGCCGGTGAACTTAGGCTCACTGCGGTGCTGAGGGTCAATGGAACATTCCAGGCCAACTTCCCTCTGGGCCCTGTGACCCACGGAGGGAACTACAGATGCTTCGGCTCTTTCCGTGCCCTGCCCCACGCGTGGTCAGACCCGAGTGACCCACTGCCCGTTTCTGTCACAGGTGAGAAAACACCATGCCTGTCCCATGTCTTGTGATCCTAGAGCCATAGCTGAGGAGCTTCCTGCTGATGATGGAGAGAAGCATGGACAGATGCCGAGACAGAACACACAGCATGGGTGTAAGGGCGGGGTCAGGGGGCAGGATGGCAGACAGGGCACCTCCAAACCCTCCTGTATGGCCTGCAAGGAGGCCCTTGATCAGGGTTCCAGGCACCCAGGCAGATGGAGAAAGAGGTCAGAACAGACCCAGAGGAGGGAGACTGGGCTCTGCCTGGGGAGATCAGAGGTTCTCTCAGCCCCTCAACCTTACCCACTTCCCAGAAGCCCATCCTGGCCTGTCACCCACAGAGAGATGTCATCACCAGCAACGCCTACACCCTTTTCTTTTTGTTTGAAGAAATATTTATTGAGGTGAAATATACCTATGTAATTTACCACCTTTACCATTTTTAAGTGTGAAGTCTACTGTTCATAAATACATTTATAGGCTGGGCACGGTGGCTCACTGTTGTAATCCCAACACTTTGAGAGGCCAAGGCAGGTGGATCATTTGAGATCAGGGGCTCAAGACCACCCTGGCCAACATGGGGAAAATCCATCTGTACTAAAAATACAAAATAATAATAATAATGATAATAATTAGCCGAGCATGGTGGCACATGCCTGTAGTCCCAGCTACTTGGGAGGGTTGGGCAGGAGTTGCACTTAATTGCAGGAGGCGGAGGTTGCAGTGAGCTGAGATCATGCCACTGCACTGCAGCCTGGGCAACAGAGAGAGACACTCTCTCAAAATTAATTAATTAATTAATTAGTATTCTTTTTTTTTTACCCTCCACCCTTCCCTTCCTGGCCTCTGGTAGCCACCATTCTACTCTCTACCTTTGTGAGATCCACCTTTTAGCTCCTGCATATGAGTGAGAAATGGAAATACTTGTAATGACCTCCAGTTCCATTCATGTGGCTGTAAATGACAGGATGTTACTCTTTCTATGGATGAGTTGTCCCTATTGTGTGTGTGTACCACATTCTCTCCATCCATTCACCCACTGATGGGCAGGTAGGTTGATCCACATCTTGGCTACTGTGAACACTGCTGGAACAGTCATGGGAGTGCAGATGTCACTTCGATACGCTGATGTCCTTTCCTTTGGGTTTACACCCAGTCATGGAATTGCTAGATCCTCTGGAAGTGTCTTTTTACATTTTGTTTTATGGTTTTTGTTTTTGTTTTTGTTTTTTTTAGACAGTTTCACTCTTGTTGCCCAGGCTGGAGTGCAGTGGTGCCATCTGGGCTCACTGCAACCTCCACCTCCAGGATTCAAGAGATTCCCCAGCCTCAGCCTCCCAAGTAGCTGGGTTACTGGCTCCCACCACCACACTCGGCTAATTTTTATATTTTTAGTAGAGACAGAGTTTCGCTATATTGGCCAGGCTGCTCTTCAACTCCTGACCTCAAGTGACCTACCCACCTCGGCCTCCCAATGTGCTGGGATTACAGGCATGAACCACTGTGCCCGACCTCATTTTATTTTTTGAGGAACTTCCATACTCTTCTCCTCTGTAATGGCTGTACTAATTTGCATTCGTATCAGCAGTGTACCAGATGCAACCCTGGTTGACTCAGCAGAGCAAGAGACGTGCAGTAAGAGAGAATTTAGCTTATTTATGCACACGACACTTCCACTCACTCACTCGTTCAGCCAATGCCCCATGCTCTGGCTGTGCAGTGTGGAATCTTTTCCTATTGTTGCCATAACAAATTTCCACAAGCTTCGTGGATGAAAACATGTTTTTCTTAATTATCTCACAGTGCTGTAACTCAGAAGTATGAACTGCATTTCACTGGGCTGATATCAAAGGGACAGTAAGGCTGGATTTCTTTTTAAGGTTCCAAGCAAGAATCTGCTCCTTAACGTTTCCCAGCTCCTAGAGGCTCCCACGTTCCTGGGCCCCTGGTCCCCTTCCTCCTTCCTCCTTCCTCAAAGCCCACAAAGGCTGGTCACGTCTCACATGGCATCATTCAGACTCTTCTTCTTTACCCATACCTTTTTCTCTGAATCCTGCTCTGCCTTCTTCCTCATCTTTTAAGGACTTTGGGATTCTATTGGGGTCACCAAGATAATCCATCTCAATCTCCCTAAAATCATCCAGCGTACCCTCTTTTTAAGTTCAGCTGATTAGCAACCGTAATGCCATCTGCAATCTTCATTCCTCCTTTCCTGTAAAATAACATATTCACAAGCTATGGAGGCTAAGACAGGGACATTTTGGGGGTGGGGCAGCATTCTCCTGCCTTCCACAAATGGTAAACAGGATGCATTTGGCCTCTGCTCTTGGGACGCTGATATTGCAGATGGGTAAATGCGAGGGCAGAGAATGAATGCACAAGGGTACCAATAAATGAATGATCCATTGGGAAGCATCTGTGCACCAAATCTGGGGTTTTTTGTGTGTGTGTGTGTTTTTTGTTTTCTTTTTTTTTTTTGAGTAGAGTCTCTCTCTGTTCCACAGGCTGGAGTGCAGTAGCACAATCTCAGCTCATTGCAACCTCTGCCTCCTGGGTTCATGCAATTCTCCTGCCTCAGCCTACCGAGTAGCTGGGATTACAGCTGTGCGCCACCACACTCGGCTAATTTTTTTGGTATATTTTTTAGTAGAAATGAGGTTTCACCATGTTGTGCAGGCTGTCTCAAACTCCCAATCTCAAGTGATCCCACCGCCTTAGCGTCCCTAAGTGCAAAGATTACAGGCGAGAGCTACTGCGCCCAGCCAGGATTTAAAATAAGTAATAGATAATGCTGAGTATATAATTTCAGGTGACAGAGAAGGTCTCACTGATCAGATAATATTTGTGACCTTAATGGAAAAAATGGATTCAACCCTTGGAAGATTGGCGGAAGGATTTTCCACACTGAGCTCTCAGCCGTGAAGGCACAAAGGTGGAAACATTCTTAGTTCAAGGAAGAGGCTCTGCCTCAAATGCTGGGAATGAGATGGGGAGAATGACAAGACAACTGTAGAGAGATGGAGAGCACACTGGGTACACAGGAAACTAAGGAGGAACAAGGAGCATGTTTTTGATACTCACAGCCCTTGGATTCAACTCAGAGCTAACTAGGAATCCCTACCTGATTAACAGTGACCGACATGAAAATAAGGGAGGCCCAGGTGCGTAACTGGAATCTAGGAGACCGTGGAAAAGGCAATTCCCGCCCCACTGGTGAAACGTAGGGTTGATTTACACACTAAATGAATGAAAGATGGATATAAGCTATGCTTGTGAGGTAGAATCATTTGCAGGGAGGGCTTGCTGGGTTTGATTTTTCCTAGTAGTTTAATCCTTGTTTCATTAATTTCTTTCTGAGATGTGTTTTTTTTCTACATCTAAATCAATACCTGGCAGAGGAGCGATAGACACATGAGGGGTGGTGCAAATGAAGGGACCTAGTATAATATAATATACAAGACTGTGGATGGGGGCTCACACCTGTAACCCAACACTTTGGGAGGCCAAGGCGGGTAGATCACTTAAGGGTAGGAGTTTGAGACCAGCCTGGCCAACATGGTGAAACCCCGTCTGTACTAAAAATACAAAAATTAGCCTGGTGCATTGGCACCTGCCTGTAATCCCAGCGACTGGGGAGGCTGAAGCAGAAGAATGGCTTCAACCCTGGAGGCAGAGGTTGAACTGAGATCGCATCACTGCACTCCAGCCTGACACAGGGGGACTCTGTCTCAAAAAATAAAAATAAAACATACATAATTATGACACACAGAAATTACAAAGGCAACTGGATACCAACCATCATTTTTCTATTTCTCTGTGTTTAATTCTTTGACCCTTTATCTTATCCATTAAACAATCAGGTTAAACCTCTTCCTTATTTGGCTTTCTGTGAGCTTGGGATCATATGGAAAATGTGAAAGCCTCCTGAACCCACCAGCACAGGTCCTGGAATAGAGAACGTGCTCTGTTCATGGCATAAAACTTGCCCCTTCACCCAAATCCCCCAATTCATCTCTACTTCCAATCACCTATGGAGATACAGATAGATCATGGGGAGGTAAACACTAATACTCTTTGGAGTGAGCTCAGATCTTGGACTCAGAGACCAGTGCCAGCACTAGCCCCTGGTCACATTTCGTACTAACTCACAGAAGGACAGGCTGTATTGAAACAATAAACGACGGAGAGGGCGGTCCTTCCCCGTGCTTCTCGGGTGGAATAGCAGCCTAATATATGTCTCAGCAGATCACAAAAAGTAGCATGTTGTTCCTGGGCTACATCATTATTTCATGGCTGTTTGATTTAAGTCAGTTCTACTTCACTTTTTTTATCTTGATTTCATTTTTTCTTTCTTTTCTTGGAGAATGTAATTTTTTTGAGTCAAGAGGGTTGTGGTGGTAGAAACTGTAAAGCACATTCGCTGTGTATCAATCCCAATCCAGTCTTCCCAGAGAAGACTCTAAACACCTCCTGGAATGTACCTGGGCCTATACCAATTCCTATCACTCACCGTCACTCCAGGGAGACAGAACACACAGAGAACACATTACACAGGCAGGTTCATTACTAACAGATAAGCAGCGAGTGACAACAGAAGCCTACATTTCAATGTGAGCCAGTCCCTCAAGGCTCAGAAAAGCTGCTCGAGACATGTGGAGTCACCCCATATGCAGTGTATCTGGGGGAAATCAAAAAGCAGCCCAGCCTGGGTTTTGTACCCTGGAGCCACAGGAAGCACTCAGCTAAAGCACTGCATGACGTCCTCCTCCAGGAAGAACAGGAAGACAGCCCAGGCTGTTCTGGGATGTTCCTCCTGATCTCAGGACTTTGCTGTCTTAGTCCATTTTTGTTGCTCTAAAGGAACACTTGAGCCTGGGTAACTTCTAAAGAAAAGAAATGTGTTTGCCTCACAGTTCTGCAGGCTGTACTGGAAGCATGGCACCAGCATCTATTTCTTGTGACGGCCTCAGGCTGCTCCCGCTCTGGCAGAAGGGAAGGAGGGTCTATCTGTGCAGAGACCACAGAGATCACACGGCAAGAGAGGGAGCAAGGGGGAGGGGGAGCGATGGAGCTTCCAAGTTCTTTTTAACAACCAGCTCTCCAGGAACTAATAGAGGGGGAACTTGCTAACCCCATCTCCTTGGGACAGCATTGATCTGTTCATGATGGATCCACCTCCATGACCCAAACACCTCCCAAGAGGCCCAACCTCCCACCCTGGGGGTTACATTTCAATGTGAGGTTTGAAGTGGTCAAACATCTAAACTAAAGCAGTTGTATCCTCAGCACGTTCTATGGTTACTACAACTGAGAAAGCAGGAGGAAGCTAGGTCTCCCGCCATCTGGGTGCTTGTCCTAAAGAGACGTTGTATGTGGTTACCTGTCAATCAAGAAATGTGAGACAATTCATATAGAGGAACTGCTATGATTAGCTTCTTATTGGTGTCTTGTCTTCCTCCAGGTAACTCCAGATACCTGCACGCTCTGATTGGGACCTCAGTGGTCATCATCCCCTTTGCTATCCTCCTCTTCTTTCTCCTTCATCGCTGGTGTGCCAACAAAAAGAGTAAGTCTCACGAAGCAGAAGCCAGAGAGCTCAGGGCCATGTGGGGAAGCAGGATGGGAGCACTCAGGTGTGTGTTCCTTACAGGCAGGATGGTCCCTGACCCAAGGCAGGAGCCACAGAGGCAGGACTTTCTAGAGAGAGCACCAGACTCCCTGCCCCTGCCTTCAGCTCACAGACCATTGCCTGATTCTGAACCATATCCTCACATCCCCTGCAGCCACTCACATCCAGGAGAAGGTTCCATGACAGGCAGAAAGTGGGAGACAGAATCAATGGGATGGGAACTCAGAGCTATTCATGGGATGGGTCCTTGAGCTCAGAGAGATAGAATGTCTGAGTCTGCTGTTGGCAACTGAGGGACCTCAGGCACCTATGGCCTCCCCCTGCATGTTGGTATCTGCTTATGAAATGAGGACCCAGAAGTGCCCTCCGAGCTGTTTTGACGACTTCCGTCTTCTACAGATGCTGTTGTAATGGACCAAGAGCCTGCAGGGAACAGAACAGTGAACAGGGAGGTAGGTGCTCCTCAGCCCAGCCTCATGGCTAGTCTTATTCCCAAAGAGTCCTGAAAAATGTGAGCACCCTCCCTCACTCAGCATTTCCCTCCCTCCAGGACTCTGATGAACAAGACCCTCAGGAGGTGACATACGCACAGTTGAATCACTGCGTTTTCACACAGAGAAAAATCACTCGCCCTTCTCAGAGGCCCAAGACACCCCCAACAGATACCAGCGTGTAACACGGAACTTCCAAATGCTGAGCGCAGATCCAAAGTTGTCTTCTGTCCACCAGCACCACAGTCAGGCCTTGATGGGATCTTCTAGGGAGACAATAGCCCTGTCTCAAAACCGGGTTGCCAGCTCCCATGTACCAGCAGCTGGAATCTGAAGGCGTGAGTCTGCATCTTAGGGCATCGCTCTTCCTCACACCACGAATCTGAACATGCCTCTCTCTTGCTTACAAATGTCTAAGGTCCCCACTGCCTGCTGGAGAGAAAACACACTCCTTTGCTTAGCCCACAATTCTCCATTTCACTTGACCCCTGCCCACCTCTCCAACCTAACTGGCTTACTTCCTAGTCTACTTGAGGCTGCGATCACACTGAGGAACTCACAATTCCAAACATATAAGAGGCTCCCTCTTAACACGGCACTTAGATACATGCTATTCCACCTTTCCTCATGTTGTTCCACCTTTCCTCAGAGTATCTTTCAGCCTTCTGTCAGCAGTAAAACTTATAAATTTTTTTTATAATTTCAATGTAGTTTTCTATTCTTCAAGTAAACATGTCTGCCCTCATGGTTTCGTCAATGGGACTCTTTTCTTGCCTAAGGCTTCCGGTGTTATCATTACCACGTCCACATAACCCCATCTGTTCTCCGCTGGGTTCTCACCCCTGGACTCTGAGCTTCTGGAAGCAGGGTGGAGCCTGAATTGTCTCTGAGACTCCAGTTTCCATCCAAAGATGCAGCACATAGGAGGTTCCAAGGATGGTGAATCAGATGAACAAGTGATATTCTTACTCTCTGCAGATCTGGAAAGCTGGCAGAGTCATTCCACGATGAAACATTTGTAGAGTCATAGGCCTTGTTAGTCTCATCTCCACAGGGACACGTATCAACACATCATCTTTCATACTACTATAAATAGACAGTCACTCCTCCATATCTCTGGGGTTTACACATGTTTATTGAATCAGCAATAAATCAAAAATATTTTGAGAAAAAAAATCCCCGAAGTTTCAAAAAGCAAAAAACTATGTTGAATCGACACAAATTGAGTGGCGTGTAGGCTGTGTCAGGAATTATAAGTAATCAAGAGATGATTTCATGTATACAGGAGGATGTGCATGGGTTCTATGCAATTGCTATGCTATTTTTTTTTTTGAGACAGTCTCACTCTCTCACCCAGGCTGGAGTGCAGTGGCGTGATCTCAACTCACTGCAACCTCCGCCTTCCAGGTTCAAGCGATTCTCTTCCCTCAGCCTCCTCAGTAGCCTCCCCTAGGATTACAGGCACGTGCCACCCTGCACAGATAAATTTTTTTGTGTGTGTATTTTTAGTAGAGACGGGGTTTCAGAATGTTGGACCAGCTGGTCTTGAACTCCTGACCTTGTGATCTACCCAGCTCAGCCTCCCAAAGTGCTGGGATTACGGGCGTGAGCCACGGTGCCCAGCTTCACTATGCCATTTCATGCAAGGGGCTTGAGCATCTGCAGATTTTGGTATCTGAATGGGGATCCTGGAACCAATCACCCAGGTATAGTGAAGGACCATGGTATATAATTTTTATTTGTCAATCTTAAAAATAAAGCATAAAAAATTTACAACAACAAGATAAAAAATAAGAAGTGTTTTTATAGTGTGAGGATAAGTTTAGATTTATTTTTTCCTACGTGTAACCCTATGGTCCTGTGTTATTTGTTGAGAAAATATTCTATTCCACCTTAAACTACATGGCAGCCTTTGTCAACTATAAAGGGACTGTGTATCCACAGATGTATTTTAGACACAGTTTTCTGTCCAGTGGTTCTCTGTATCCCCTCTCATGAGGATGCTGCATTTTATATAAACTTATAGAACCCCTTAAAATTTGGTAACCTGAGTCCTCTGATTTGTTATTATAGGTTATTTAGTTTGCTTTTTTTTTTTCTTGAGACAGACTCTTCCTCTGTCACCCAAGCTGGAGTTCAGTGGCTTGAGCTCAGCTCACTGCAACCTCCGCCTCCCAGGTTCAAGCTATTCTGATGCCTCTGGTTTAGTACTAGAAACTCAAGCAGGAAAATTAGAATGGCTTCTTGTCACAATTACTCTGATAATGTTAATAATACCTGTTAGACATTTTGCACATTACATATGAAGAAGAGTTTGAATCTCAGATAAAAACAAAAATACATCAAAAATCTTTAATGTAAGCACAGAATTCAATCATCTCGTGTATGAGAGGTTGGATCTGAGACGTCTTTTGAGTCTGGTCGTAGTGAAGGACGCAAGGTGTCAATTCTAGTGAGAACAATTTCCAGGAAGCCATGTTCCGCTCTTGAGCGAGCACCCACTGGGCCTCATGCAAGGTAGAAAGAGCCTGCGTACGTCACCCTCCCATGATGTGGTCAACATGTAAACTGCATGGGCAGGGCGCCAAATAACATCCTGTGCGCTGCTGAGCTGAGCTGGGGCGCGGCCGCCTGTCTGCACAGACAGCACCATGTCGCTCATGGTCGTCAGCATGGCGTGTGTTGGTGAGTCCTGGAAGGGAATCGAGGGAGGGAGTGCGGGGATGGAGATCGGGGCCCAGAGTTGGAGATATAGGCCTGGAAGTGGAGTTATGGGCCTAGAGATGGAGTGATGGGCCTAGAAGTGGAGATCTGGGCCTGGAGTGGAGATATGGGCCTGGAGGTTGAGATATGGGCCTGCAGTAGAGATATGGGCTTGTAGTGGAGACATGGGCCTGGAGATGGAGATATGGGCCTGGAGATGGAGATATGGGCCTGCAGTAGAGATATGGGCCTGGAGTGGAGATATGGGCCTGGAGTGGAGATATGGATCTGGAGGTGGAGATACGGGCCTGCAGTAGAGATATGGGCCTGGAGTGGAGATATGGGCCAGGAGTGGAGTTATGGGCCTAGAGGTGGATATCTGGGCCTGGAGTGGAGATATGGGCCTAGGAAGGAGATATGGGCCTGGGTGTGGAGATATGGGACTGGAGAGGTGATATGGGCCTGGAGTGGAGATATGGGCTTAGGGTGGAGATCTGGGCCTGGGGCAGAGATATGGGACTGGATTGGAGATATGGGCCTAGGGTGGAAATATCAGCCTGGAGTGGAGATATGGGCTTGTGGTGGGGATCTGGGCCTGGAAACTGGGTCTCTGCACAGCCGACAGCCCTGTTCTTGGGTGCAGGTAGGCACTGAGGGTGAGTTTAACTTCAGCCCAGGAAGGGCCTGGCTGCCAAGACTCACAGCCCAGTGGGGGCAGCAAGGGAGTCCTGGTTTGCCTGCAGATGGATGGTCCATCATGATCTTTCTTTCCAGGGTTCTTCTTGCTGCAGGGGGCCTGGCCACATGAGGGTGAGTCCTTCTCCAAACCTTCGGTTGTCATCTCCCCACATAAGAGGATTTTCCTGAAACAGGAGGGAAGTCCTGTCAGGGAGTCTCTCATAAACTGGGAAGAGAGGACCCTGGGGTGCTCGGCCCACATTTCTGACCTTGCCTCCCTGGCCTCTCAACCCCTTGGCAGAGTCAAGTTCTGTGGGGACCAGGGTTAGACTGGGGTGCTCAAAGCTGGGGTGTGTGGTGGGGAAGTGGTAGGAACAGCAGATCCTCTGAGGACAAAGGTGTTACTCACACACTTCAGCGTTTCCATGATGGTAGGGGCTGCAGTGTGGCTGCTGTCATTCTACCAGAAGAGGTGGGAAACCACAGCCATGGCCCTGACATTCCAAATCCTCTGATGGGGGCTCAGTTGTTTATTTTCGTTCAGGCATCCGCTGATATCCACTCACAAAGGACATGCCCTCCACCTCATGTCTACCCTGTGTTGTTTTATGTGAGTAATCTTACAGTATTAAAATCTAGTAGGAGTCTCTTTACTCAGCACTTGCTCAAAGTTCTCAGCTGAGGCTTTTGTTGTAGGGAGACACCATGTCTTTGCGGGATGGGTCCTTCCTTCAGCCCTGGGCACCAAGGTGTGATAGTAGCCATAGAAACGTGGAAAGCGAGGAGAATCTTCTGAGCACAGGGAGGGAGGGGCAGTTCCACATCCTCCTCTCTAAGGCGGCGCCTCCTTCTCCCCAAGGTGGTCAGGACAAGCCCTTGCTGTCTGCCTGGCCCAGCCTTGTGGTGCCTCTAGGACATGTCATTCTTCGGTGTCACTCTTATCTTGGGTTTAACAACTTCAGTCTGTACAAGGAAGGTGGGGTGCCTGTCCCTGAGCTCTACAACAGAATATTCTGGAACAGCCTTTTCATGGGCCCTGTGACCCCCGCACAACAGGGACATACAGATGTCGGGGTTCACACACACACTCCCCCAGTGGGTGGTCAGCACCCAGCAACCCCCTGGTGATCGTGGTCATAGGTCAGAGGGCTCCTGTCTTGGATTCTCCTTGTCCCACCTCCTGAATCCCAGAGCTTCTGGTGGGCATGTCCTTGAGGGTCCCATCACGCAGGCCCTGACTGTATTTGTGGTAAAGGGGGATTGAATACAGGGAAATGGGTGCTGTGGTGGGAAGAATAATTGTCCCCAGTGATGACTACATTCTAATCCCTGGAGTCTGTGACTATGTATGTTATAGGGGAAGGGACTGAAGGGGAAGATGGAGCTCATGGGGAGACAGCCTGGACTGTCCCACTGGGCTCAGTGTAATCACAAGGGTGCACATGAAAGGAGGAGGAAGAGGGGAGTGGGGATTAGAGCAGTCCAGTGGAAGTCTTCACCAGCTTTGAAGGTGGAGGAAGGCCAAGAGCCATGAATGCAGGTGGCCTATAGAGGCTGGAAAAGTCAAGGAACTGATTCTCCAGAGTCTCCAGAGGAAACGAAGCCCTGCAGATGCCTTGATTTTAGCCCAGGAAAAATAGGGTCCAATTTCTGTCTCCAGTACTGGAAGGTGTCAGTGTGGTCTCTCCTGCTTCCATGCTTCTGATAATTTTGTACAGCAGCAACAGGAAACCAACACTGGAACCCAGGTCAAGGACAAGTTAAGAAACAACCCAAGGAAAGCCAGGCATGGTGGCAGGCGCATGTAATCCTAGCGACTCAGGAGGCTGAGGGCAGGAGAATCACTTGAACCCAGGAAACAGAGGTTGCAGTGAGCCTAGACCACACCACTTCACTCCAGCCTGGGTGAAGGAGTGAGACTCTGTCTCCAAAATTAATTAATTAATTAAAGAAACCAAACAAGGAGAAGGTTGGCTACCCTGAGATCAGCAAGGGTGGGATGATGATGCCACCACCAGGCTCCATCCACATAGGGAGGGGTTGATACTCCTCCAACCAGCACCAGGAGCCAGCCTATGGAAGCTGGCACCATGGAGAAGGCACAGGCATGGCAAGAGTGGCTCCCAGTCCCGACCAGGAACAGGGTGTGTGGACACTGGTGCCTGCCTTATTCATCAGTTCATACCTTCTGCCAAGGATTGCAATTCATCCAAAAGAGATTGAACAAGGCTGATAAGAGCCTGGATGTGCAGCCTATCCTGGTTCCTCTTTCACCCCCACATAAACAGCAGGAAAGACGTTAGTGTGAAATAGATACAACACCCCAAGAGATGAGGCTAAGCCCAGTGGGAAGGGAATCAGAGGCTACTAGAGACAGAGGGACAGAGAAGAGGGAGGGAGACAGATGGAAGGACCTGCACCAGGAGTTATGGGCACAGAAAAGAACATGAAGACACAGAGAGGAAGGAGAGAGACAGACACCAGCAAGGGGAAGCCTCACTCATTCTAGGTGCCATGGATGGGATGATAAAGAGAGACACCTTCTAAACTCACAACCTCTCTTCTTAGGAGTCCACAGAAAACCTTCCCTCCTGGCCCACCCAGGTCCCCTGGTGAAATCAGAAGAGACAGTCATCCTGCAATGTTGGTCAGATGTCAGGTTTGAGCACTTCCTTCTGCACAGAGAGGGGAAGTATAAGGACACTTTGCACCTCATTGGAGAGCACCATGATGGGGTCTCCAAGGCCAACTTCTCCATCGGTCCCATGATGCAAGACCTTGCAGGGACCTACAGATGCTACGGTTCTGTTACTCACTCCCCCTATCAGTTGTCAGCTCCCAGTGACCCTCTGGACATCGTCATCACAGGTGAGAGTGTCCGGACATTCTCATTGTCATTGGGCTGCAGAGTGAATGATCCACGACTTGGAACCCCCAGGTAGTTGTAAGGAAGATGAGCTTGGTATTCTTATGGAGAGAGACTGACTTGCTGAGGTTTGTACCAACAGAGACAGAGAAACAGGAGACACAAGTACAGACCAGGTGTCATAACGGAGGACAGACACAGGGGCCATACAGGGAGTTAGAAAAGACAGAAAGAGTTAAAGGAGACAGACAGACAGACATGTCCCAGAGAGAGGTGTCCCTCCATGCTGACTTTGCTCACAGACCTGGCACAGGATAGAAGTTTCATTTCTGTTTTACCTCCACAAAGTGTTCTCTACCAGGAGAACCCAAGGACACCCATATTTCTGACCTGAGTTGGGCCCTGTGGCCTCAGGCCTTGTGGCACCTACAGGCCATGTTTATTCTGACACCTCTGCCTTCCATGTAATGGAGAGTAACCGTCCCAGGATATCATGGCCCCAGAACACCAACCCCTGTATGCTGTGTGAACTTGTGGTCTCCAGACTGGATTCTGAGGCTCACATTCCAAATAACCCCACATATGAAAGGATCACTGAGAGGCACAGAGAGAAATCAGGAACACCAAAAAGCAAAGACATAAACACACAGAGAATGGGCCAGAGGAAGGAGATTGAGAGACTCACTGACACATAAAGAGAGAGAAAAGAGGGCAGAGGAGTGGTGAGAATGATGGAAGGGAGCAGAGAAAAGCACTAAAATTAGAGTCCTGAGGGAGAGGCACAAGGACATAGAAAGATGGAGATGTGGGGATGAACTGCAGAGATTCCAAAGAGAACTAGAGAGACCGAGAGGCAGAGCAAGACAGATGATAGATGGATAGATATAGATAGATGATAAATAGGTAGATGATAGATAATAGGTTAAAGATACATAGATGATGATTGATTGATTCATTAATAGATAATACATAGAGATGATGATGATGAAGACAGATAGATAATACGTACAGATAGAGAGGCAGACAGAAATCATAGAGAGAGAGATGATACATACATATAAATAACAGATGATTGATGGATAGATAGACAACTGATAGATACATAGATGATATATAGATATAGATGACAGGTAGAGAATTTGTAGATAGGCACCGAATAGATAAATAGATAGATCGACAGATAATAGATAGAAATATGCAGAAAGTTATGAACAGGACACAACGTGAGAAACTTAGAATTTAAAAAAGTAACATCAAGTCAACCAATCCAAGGAGAGTCAGAGAGAATAAAAGAATCCAAAAAGGGAAAACATATCTAGAGGTGGGGAAGCGAGGTCAGAGACCTAGAGAGACAGAGAAGGTGGAAGGAGGAAATAGACATGAAGAGAGATGGGGTGGAGGGTGAGAGAGAGAGAGAGAGAGCATTAGGTCATAGAGCAGGGGAGTGAGTTCTCAGCTCAGGTGAAGGGAGCTGTGACAAGGAAGATCCTCCCCGAGGAAAATGCCTCTTCTCCTTCCAGGTCTATATGAGAAACCTTCTCTCTCAGCCCAGCCGGGCCCCACGGTTTTGGCAGGAGAGAGCGTGACCTTGTCCTGCAGCTCCCGGAGCTCCTATGACATGTACCATCTATCCAGGGAGGGGGAGGCCCATGAACGTAGGTTCTCTGCAGGGCCCAAGGTCAACGGAACATTCCAGGCCGACTTTCCTCTGGGCCCTGCCACCCACGGAGGAACCTACAGATGCTTCGGCTCTTTCCGTGACTCTCCCTATGAGTGGTCAAACTCGAGTGACCCACTGCTTGTTTCTGTCACAGGTGAGGAAACCCCATATCTGTCTCATGTCCTATGATCCTAGAGCCTTAGCTGAGGAGCTTCCTGCTGATGATGGAGAGAAGCATGGACAGATGCAGAGAGAAGACGAAGCTTGGGTGTGAGGGAGGGATCAGGGCACAGGATGGCAGACAGGGCACCTCCAAACCCTCCTACACGGCCTGCATGAAGGCCCGCGGCCAGGGCTCCAGGCACACAGGCAGATGGAGAAAACGGTCAGGAGAGACCCAGAGGAGAGAGACTGGGCTCAGTTTGGGAAGATCAGAGGTTCCCTCAGCCCCTCAACATTATCCATTTCCCAGAAGCCCATCCTGGCCTCTCACCCACACAGGGATGTCATCACCAGCAACCCCTACACCCTTTACTTTTGTTTGAAGAAATATTTATTGAGGATAAATATACCTATATAGCTTACCACCTTTAACATTTTTTTTTTTTTTGAGGCAGAGTCTAGCTCTGTCCCCTATGCTGGAGTGCAGTGGCACAATCTCAGCTCACTGCAATTTCCGCCTCCTGGGTTCAAGCGATTCTCTTGCCTCAGCCACCTGAGTAGCTGGTGCTACAGGCGCGCACCACCACGCCAGGCTACTTTTTGTATTTTTAGTAGAGAGGTGGTTTCACCATGTTGGTCGAGCTGGTCTCCAACTCCTGACCACGTGATCCACCCGCATGTGCCTCCCAAAGTGCTGGGATTACAGGCATGAGCCACCACGCCCAGCCACATTTACCATTTTTAAGTGTAAAGTCTAGTGGTCATAAATACATTTATATATATATATTTTTTTTTTTTTTTTTTACCCTCCACCCTTTTCTTCCTGGCCTCTGGAAGCCATCATTCTACTCTCTACCTTCATGAGATCCACCTTTTAGCTCTGTATATGGGTGAGAAATGGGAATCTTTGTAATGACTTCCAGTTCCATCCATGTGGCTGCAAATATCAGGATGTTATTCTTTCTATGGATGAGTAGTCTCCACTGTGCGTATGTACTACATTCTCTCTATCCATTCATCCACTGATGGGCAGGTAGGTTGACTCCACATCTTGGCTACTGTGAACAGTGCTGCACCAATCATACGAGTGCAGATATCACTTCGATATATTGATTTACTTTCCTTTGGATATAAACCCAGTAGTGAAATTGCTGGATACTATGAAAGTTCTCTTTTTAGTTTTTCGTTTGTTGTTTTGTTTTTGTTTTTGAGACAGTTTCCCTCTGTGCCCAGGCTGGAGTACAAGTGATGTCATCTTGGCTCATTGCAACCTCTGCCTCCTGGGTTCAAATGATTTTCCTGCCTCAGCCTCCCTAGTAGCTGGGATTACAGGTGCACGCCACCATGCCTGGCTACTTTTTGTTTTTTTTAGTATAGATGGGGTTTCCCCATGTTGGCTGGGCTGCTCTCAAACTCATGACCTCAACTGAGATGCCCGCCTCAGTCTCCCAAAGTGCCGGGATTACAGGCCTGATCCACCACACCCAACCTCTTTTTAGTTCTTTAAAGGACTTCCATACTTTTCTCCGTAATCGCTGTACTAATTTACACTCCTCCCAACAGGGTACCAGGGTTCTCCTTTCTCTACCACCTTGCCAGCATTTCTTTTGCCTGTCTTGCAGCTAAAAGCCATTTTATTTTATTTCATTTTATTTTGAGATGGAGTTTTGCTCTTCTCACCCAGGCAGGAGTGCAGTGGCGCTATCTCGGCTCACCACAACCTCCACCTCCCAGGTTCAAGCGATTCTCCTGCCTCAGCCTCCCGAGTAGCTGGAATTACAGGCACACTCCACCACGCCCGACTAATTTTTGTATTTTTAGTAGAGACAGTGTTTCTCTATGTGGGTCAGACTGGTCTCAAACTCCTGACCTTATGAGATTCACCCACCTCAGGCTCTCAAAGTTCTAGGATGACAGACGTGAGCCACCACGCCCGGCCTAAAAGCCATTTTAATGGGGTGAGATGAAAACTCACTTTGATTTTAATTTGCGTTTCTCTGATGATGAGTGATACTGAGCACTTTTTAGTATGTGGGGAAATTTCATGTCTTCTGCTCCTTTTTCAATTAAATCATTTGTTTTATTGAGTTGTTTGAGCTTCTTATATTTCTAGTTATTAATCCCATCTCAGATGCATAGTTTGCACATATTTGCTCCCAATCTGTGGGTTGTCTCTTCACTTTGTTGGTTTATTTTTAGCAGTGCAGAAGTTGCTTAGTTTGAGGTAATCCCAATGGTCTATTTTTGCTTCGATTACTTGTGTTTTCAAGGTTTAAAACAAAATGTCTTTCTTCAGACAAATGTCCTGGAGCATTTCCCCAATATTTTGTTCTACGTGTTTCATAGGTTCAGGCCTTAGACTCACATCTTTAATCCATTTTCATTTGATTTTTGTGTATGGTGACAGGTAGAGGTGCAGTTTCATTCCTCTGCATGTCGATGTCCAGGTTTCCCTGCACTGTTTATTGAAAAGACTGTCCTTTCCTGATTGTGAGTTCTTGGCACCTTTGTCAAAGTCCATTGGATGGGCTGGGCTTGGTGGCTGACACCTGCAATTTCAGCACTTTGGGAGGCCGAGGCGGGTGGATTACCTGAGGCCAGGAGTTCAAGATCAGTCTGGACGACGTGATGAAACATCGTCTCCACTAAAAATATAAAAATTAGCTGAGCATGGTGGTCAGCACCTGTAATACCACTACTCAGGAGTTTGAGGCAAGAGAATGATTGAACCCAGGAGGCTGAGGTTGCAGTGAACTGAGATTGCACCTCTGCACTCCAGCCTGAGTGACAGAGCAAGACTCCATCTCAAAAGAAAAAATAAAAAACCATTGGATGTAAATGCATGGAATATATCTGTGTTATTCATTCTGCTCCGTTGTTCTATGTCCCTTTCTTTATGCCAATGTCATGCTGTTTTGCTTACTACAGCTCTGTAACATATTTTGAGATCAGGTAGTGTGATGCTCCTGTTTTCTCTTTATACCTTGAAGTCTCAAGACAGTGGGCGTCACATAAAAAAATTATGGAAAAAAGGATCCCAGGACTCCCAGGGCCCAATATTAGATAACAGAGTGTTGGCCATGAACCATCCTCAAAGATTTCCACTGAGTAGAGGACAGACACCCTCATTTCCTCACCTCTCTCCTGTCTCATGTTCTAGGAAACCCTTCAAATAGTTGGCCTTCACCCACTGAACCAAGCTCCAAAACCGGTGAGTACAGAACCCTCTTATATCCGCTTTTGGAAACCTGGGGAGGTGGAAACCTTGGATTCAGGCGTTGACTCAGCATCTCACAGCTCTGACATTGTACCCCTGTCTTCCACCATCTCCGAACTCCAGATACTCCTACAGCGAAAGGGATCTGGGTCCAACACAGGGCTCAGTGAAATCTCTTCATCTCTCATTTTATGGAGCTGAGACTTCCTACAAGCTAGAAGAATGATTGCCAATCTGACATCCTTCTCAGGAAAAATGCAATGTTTGTTCTGCCTGCATTCCTAACTGGAGGATAAATTCCTGGAGACTTGAGAGAGGGAAGGGAAGGGAACATCTGATGAGGGCGAGGTGTTTTAGAGAAGTTCCACTTGCCAAGGAATGAGCTCCTATAGGTCATGAAGCAACCCTGGCTGACTCAGCAGAGAAAGAGCCTTGCTGTAACAGAGAACAGAGCTCATGCACGCACACTTCGACTCACTGACTCATTCAGCCACGGCCCCATGCTCAGGCTGTGCACTGTGGAAGCTTTTCCTATTGTTGCCATAACAAATTTCCACAAGATTCGTGGGTGAAAACAAAACGGTTTTTTAATTATCTTACAGTGCTGTAGCTCAAAGTATGAAGTGCATCTCACTGGGCTAAAATCAAGGTGACAGCAAGGCTGCCTTCCCTCTGAGGATTCCAGGCAAGAATCTGCTTCTCACTTTTCTCAGCTTCTAGAGGCTCCCACATTCCTTCGCTCCTGGTCCCCTTCCTCCTTCCTCAAAGCCCACAAAGACTGGTCACATCTCACATGGCATCACTCAGACCCTTCTTCCTTACCACACCTCTTTCTCTGAATGCTGCTCTCCCTTCTTCCTCATCTTTTGAAAACTTGGGGATTCTATTGGGTTCACCAAGATGAAAATCCATCATAATCTCCCGGAAATCATTCAGGATACCCTTGTTTTAAGTTCAGCTGATTAGCAACCATAATTCCATCTGCAATCTTCATTCCTCCTTTCCATGTAAAATAAGATATTCACAAGCTATGGAGGCTAGGACAGGGACATTTTGGGGTGGGACAGCATTCTCCTGCCTTCCACAAACAGTGAACAAGATGCATTTGGCCTCTGCTCTTTGGACACTGATATTGCAGATGGTTAAATGGGAGGGCAGAAAATGAATGCACAAGTGGACCAATAAATGAATGATCCATTGGGAAGCATCTGTGTATGAAATCTATTTGTTTGTTTCTTCATTTGTTTATTGAGACAGAGTCTCCCTCTGTCTTCCAGGCTACAGTGCAGTGTCACCATCTTGGCTCACTGCAACCTGCACCTTCTGGATCCAAGTGATTCTCCTGCGTCAGCCTCTCAAGTAGCTGGGATTACAGGCAACTGCCACCATGCCCGGCTAATTCTTTTTGTATATTTTTTGTAGAGGATGTTTCACCATCTTCGCCAAGCTTCTCTGAAACTCCCAACCTCAAGTGATCCGACCGTCTCAGCATCCTAAAGTACTGGGATAACTGGCGTGAGCCACTGTGCCCAGCCAGAATTTAAAATAAATAATACATAATGCTGAGTGTATGATTTTGGGTGACAGAGAAGATCTCACTAATCAGATATTTGTGACATTAATGAAAAACACGGATTGAACCCCTGAAAGATTGGCGGAAGGATTTTCCACACACAGCTGTCAGCCGTGAAGGCAGAAAGCTGAAAACAATCTGATGTGGAAGGAAGAGGCTCTGCCTCAAATGCTGGGAATGAGGTGGGGAGAATGACAAGACGACTGTGGAGAGACGGAGAGCACACTGGGTACACAGGAAACTAAGGAGCAACAAGGAGTGTGTGTTTGACACTCACAGCCATTGGATTCACCTCGGGGTAGCCAGGAATCCCTACATGATTAATAGTGACTGACATGAAAATAAGGGAGGCCCAGGTGCGTAACTGGAATCTAGGAGACTGTGGAAAAGGCAATTCCCGCCCCACTGGTGAAATGTGGTGCTGATTTAGACCCTAACTGGGTGAAGCAGATGGATATAAGCTATGCTTGTGAGGTGGAATCATTGGCTGGAAAGGCTTGCTGGGTATGATTTTCCTAGTTGTCTAATCCTCGCTTAATTTCTTTCTGAGCTTTATTCCTACTACACATAAATCAATACCTGGCAAAGGAGTGACAGATATATGAGGGGTGGTGGAAATGAAGGGACCTATTATAGCATAATATACAAGTCTGTGAACGGTGGCTCACGCCTGTAACCCAGCACTGCAGGAGGCCAAGGCGGGTGGATCACATGAAGTCAGCAGTTCGAGACCAGCCTGGCCAACATGGTGAAACCCTGTCTCTAGGAAAAACACAAAAATTAGCCGAGCATGGTGGTGCATCCCTGTAATCCCAGCTCCTACTCTGGAGGATGAAGCAGGAGAATGACTTCAACCCAGGAGGTGGAGGTTGCAGTGAGTGGAGATTGCATCACTGCACTCCAGCCTGGGTGACACAAGGAGACTCCGTCTCAAAAAATAAAAATAAGAAATGCATAAATATAAATATAATATAACACATGCAAATGAGAAAGGGACCTGAATTCCAATCATGATTTTTCTATTTCTCTATAATTACTTCTTTGATCCTTTATCTTATCCATTAGGCAATGAGCCTAAAACCTCTTCCCTATTTGGCTTTCTGTGAGCATGAGATCATATAGAAAATGTGAAAGCCCGCTGAATCCTCCAGCACAGATCCTGGAATACACAAAGTGCTCTGTTCATCACAAGAAAACATGCCCTCTCACCCAAATCCCCCACCTCACCCCTACTTCCAATCATCTGTGGAGATTCAGATAGGCCATGGGGAGGTAAATTCTAATACTCCTTGGAGTGAGTCCAGATCTTGGAATCAGAGATTAGCGTCAGCAGTAGCTCCTGCTCCCCTTTCCTACTAATTCACAGGAGGACAGGTGGTATTGAAGCAATAGATGGCCGAGGGGGTGGTCCTTCCCCCAGCCTCTCGGGTAGAACAGCAACCTAACATGTGTCTCCTGAGATCACAAAGAGTAGCACGTTTCACATGGGCTTCAACACTGTTTCCTGGCCATTTGACATAAGAGAATTCTACTTCGCTTTTTTTATCTTGATTTCACTTTTGTTTCCTTTTCTTGGAGAATGCAAGTTGTTTGACTCAAGAATGCCGTGGATGTAGAAATCCTAAAGCACAGTCGCTGTGTATCAATCCCAGTGCAGTCTTCCCAGAGAAGACTCTAAACACCTCCTGGACTGCACCTGGGCCTATGCCAATTCCTATCACTCACCGTCACTCCAGGGAGACAGAACACACAGAGAATACATTACACAGGCAGGTTCATTACTAACAGATAAGCAGCGAGTGACAACAGAAGCCTACATTTCAATGTGAGCCAGTCCCTCAAGGCTCAGAAAAGCTGCTCGGGACATATGGAGTCACCCCATTTGCAGTGTAGCTGGGGGAAGCCAGAAAGCAGCCCAGCCTGGGTTTTGTACCCTGGAGCCACAGGAAGCACTCAGCTAAAGCACTGCATGACGCCTTCCTCCAGGAAGAACAGGAAGACAGCCCAGGCTGTTCTGAGACATTCCTCCTGATCTCAGGTCGTTGCTGTCTTAGTTTTTTTTTTTGTTGCTCTGAAGGAACACTTGAGCCTCGGTAACTTCTAAAGAAAAGAGATCGGTTTGCCTCACAGTTCTGCAGGCTGTACTGGAAGCATGGCACCAGAATCTATTTCTCGTGATGGCCTCAGGCTGCTCCCACTCTGGCAGAAGGGAAGGAGGGTCTGTCTGTGCAGAGACCACAGAGATCACACGGCAAGAGAGAGAGTAAGGGGGAGAGGGAGCAATGGAGCTTCCAAGCTCTTTTTAACAACCAGCTGTCCAGGAACTAACAGAGGGGGAACTTGCTAACCCCGTCTCCTTGGGACAGCATTGATCTGTTCATGATGGATCCACCTCCATGACCCAAACACCTCTGAAGAGGCCCAACCTCCCACAATGGGGGTGAAATTTCAATGTGAGGTTTGAAGGGGTCAAACATCTCAACTAAAGTAGTTGTATCCTCAGCACGTTCTATGGTTACTATGAGAGCTATAATTGAGAAAGCAGGGGAAAGCTAGGTCTCCCGCCATTTGGGTGCTTGTCCTAAAGAGACGTTGTATGTGGTTACCTGCCAATCAAGAAATGCGAGACAATTCATAAAGAGGAACTGCTATGATTAGCTTCTTATTGGTGTCTCCTCTTCTTCCAGGTAACCCCAGACACCTGCATGTTCTGATTGGGACCTCAGTGGTCAAAATCCCTTTCACCATCCTCCTCTTCTTTCTCCTTCATCGCTGGTGCTCCAACAAAAAAAGTAAGTCTCACGAAGCAGAGGCCAGAGAGCTCAGGGCCATGTGGGGAAGCAGGATGGGAGCACTCAGGTGTGTGTTCCTCACCAGCAGGATGGTCCCTGGCCCAAGACAGGAGCCACAGAGGCAGGACTTTCTAGAGAGAGCACCAGATTCCCTTCCCCTGCCTTCAGCTCACAGACCGTTGCCTGATTCTGAACTGTACCCTCACGTCCCCTGCAGCCACTCACATCCAGGAGAAGGTTCCATGACAGGCAGAAAGTGGGAGATAGAATCAATGGGATGGGAACTCAGAGCTATTCATGGGATGGGTCCTTGAACTCAGAGAGATAGAATGTCTGAGTCTGCTGTTGGCAACTGAGGGACCTCAGGCACCTATGGCCTCCCCCTGTTTGTTGGTATCTGCTTATGAAATGAGGACCCAGAAGTGCCCTCCGAGCTCTTTTGTTGACTTCCGTCTTCTACAGATGCTGCTGTAATGGACCAAGAGCCTGCAGGGAACAGAACAGTGAACAGCGAGGTAGGTGCTCCTCGGCCCAGCCTCGTGGCTAGTCTTATTCCCAAAGAGTCCTGAAAAATGTGAGCACCCTCCCTCACTCAGCATTTCCCTCTCTCCAGGATTCTGATGAACAAGACCATCAGGAGGTGTCATACGCATAATTGGATCACTGTGTTTTCACACAGAGAGAAATCACTCGCCCTTCTGAGAGGCCCAAGACACCCCCAACAGATACCAGCATGTACATAGAACTTCCAAATGCTGAGCCCAGATCCAAAGTTGTCTTCTGTCCACGAGCACCACAGTCAGGCCTTGAGGGGATCTTCTAGGGAGACAACAGCCCTGTCTCAAAACCGGGTTGCCAGCTCCCATGTACCAGCAGCTGGAATCTGAAGGCATCAGTCTTCATCTTAGGGCATCGCTCTTCCTCACACCACGAATCTGAACATGCCTCTCTCTTGCTTACAAATGTCTAAGGTCCCCACTGCCTGCTGGAGAGAAAACACACTCCTTTGCTTAGCCCACAATTCTCCATTTCACTTGACCCCTGCCCACCTCTCCAACCTAACTAGCTTACTTCCTAGTCTACCTGAGGCTGCAATCACACTGAGGAACTCACAATTCCAAACATACAAGAGGCTCCCTCTTAACACAGCACTTAGACACGTGCTGTTCCACCTCCCTTCAGACTATCTTTCAGCCTTCTGCCAGCAGTAAAACTTATAAATTTTTTAAATAATTTCAATGTAGTTTTCCCGCCTTCAAATAAACATGTCTGCCCTCATGGTTTCGGTAACGAGACTCTTCTCTTGCCTAAGGCTTCCGGTGTTATCATTACCATGTCCACATAACCCCATCTGTTCTCCATTGGGTTCTCAGCCCTGGACTCTGAGCTTCTGGAAGCAGAATGGAGCCTGAATTGTCTCTGAGACTCCAATTTCCATCCAAAGATACAGCACATAGGAGGCTCCAAGGATCGTGAATCACATGAACAAGTGATATTCTTACTCTCTGCAGACCTGGAAAGCTGGCAGAGTCATTCCACGATGAAACATTTGTAGAGTCATAGGCCTTGTTAGTCTCATCTCCACGGGGACACATATCAACATATCATCTTTCATAATATAAATATACAGTCGGTCCTCCATATCTGTGGGGTTTACAGGTGTTTATTGAACCAACAATAAATCAAAAATATTTTGAGAAAAAAATCCCCGAAGTTTCAAGAAGCAAAAAACTATGTTGAATCGACACAAATTGAGTGGCGTGTAGGCTGTGTCAGGAATTATAAGTAATCAAGAGATGATTTCATGTATACAGGAGGATGTGCATGGGTTCTATGCAATTGCTATGCTATTTTTTTTTTTTGAGACAGTCTCACTCTCTCACCCAGGCTGGAGTGCAGTGGCGTGATCTCAACTCACTGCAACCTCCGCCTCCCAGGTTCAAGCGATTGTCTTCCCTCAGCCTCCCCAGTAGCCTCCCCTAGGATTACAGGCACGTGCCACCATGCACAGATAAATTTTTTTGTGTGTGTATTTTTAGTAGAGACGGGGTTTCAGAATGTTGGACCAGCTGGTCTTGAACTCCTGACCTTGTGATCTACCCAGCTCAGCCTCCCAAAGTGCTGGGATTACGGGCGTGAGCCACGGTGCCCAGCTTCACTATGCCATTTCATGCAAGGGGCTTGAGCATCTGCAGATTTTGGTATCTGAATGGGGATCCTGGAACCAATCACCCAGGTATAGTGAAGGACCATGGTATATAATTTTTATTTGTCAATCTTAAAAATAAAGCATAAAAAATTTACAACAACAAGATAAAAAATAAGAAGTGTTTTTATAGTGTGAGGATAAGTTTAGATTTATTTTTTCCTACGTGTAACCCTATGGTCCTGTGTTATTTGTTGAGAAAATATTCTATTCCACCTTAAACTACATGGCAGCCTTTGTCAACTATAAAGGGACTGTGTATCCACAGATGTATTTTAGACACAGTTTTCTGTCCAGTGGTTCTCTGTATCCCCTCTCATGAGGATGCTGCATTTTATATAAACTTATAGAACCCCTTAAAATTTGGTAACCTGAGTCCTCTGATTTGTTATTATAGGTTATTTAGTTTGCTTTTTTTTTTTTCTTGAGACAGACTCTTCCTCTGTCACCCAAGCTGGAGTTCAGTGGCTTGAGCTCAGCTCACTGCAACCTCCGCCTCCCAGGTTCAAGCTATTCTGATGCCTCTGGTTTAGTACTAGAAACTCAAGCAGGAAAATTAGAATGGCTTCTTGTCACAATTACTCTGATAATGTTAATAATACCTGTTAGACATTTTGCACATTACATATGAAGAAGAGTTTGAATCTCAGATAAAAACAAAAATACATCAAAAATCTTTAATGTAAGCACAGAATTCAATCATCTCGTGTATGAGAGGTTGGATCTGAGACGTCTTTTGAGTCTGGTCGTAGTGAAGGACGCAAGGTGTCAATTCTAGTGAGAACAATTTCCAGGAAGCCATGTTCCGCTCTTGAGCGAGCACCCACTGGGCCTCATGCAAGGTAGAAAGAGCCTGCGTACGTCACCCTCCCATGATGTGGTCAACATGTAAACTGCATGGGCAGGGCGCCAAATAACATCCTGTGCGCTGCTGAGCTGAGCTGGGGCGCGGCCGCCTGTCTGCACAGACAGCACCATGTCGCTCATGGTCGTCAGCATGGCGTGTGTTGGTGAGTCCTGGAAGGGAATCGAGGGAGGGAGTGCGGGGATGGAGATCGGGGCCCAGAGTTGGAGATATAGGCCTGGAAGTGGAGTTATGGGCCTAGAGATGGAGTGATGGGCCTAGAAGTGGAGATCTGGGCCTGGAGTGGAGATATGGGCCTGGAGGTTGAGATATGGGCCTGCAGTAGAGATATGGGCTTGTAGTGGAGACATGGGCCTGGAGATGGAGATATGGGCCTGGAGATGGAGATATGGGCCTGCAGTAGAGATAGGGGCCTGGAGTGGAGATATGGGCCTGGAGTGGAGATATGGGCCTGAAGTGGAGATATGGGCCTGGAGGTGGAGATATGGGCCTGGAGGTGGAGATATGGGCCTGGAGTGGAGATATGGGTCTGGAGGTGGAGATACGGGCCTGCAGTAGAGATATGGGCCTGGAGTGGAGATATGGGCCAGGAGTGGAGTTATGGGCCTAGAGGTGGATATCTGGGCCTGGAGTGGAGATATGGGCCTAGGAAGGAGATATGGGCCTGGGTGTGGAGATATGGGACTGGAGAGGTGATATGGGCCTGGAGTGGAGATATGGGCTTAGGGTGGAGTTCTGGGCCTGGGGCGGAGATATGGGACTGGATTGGAGATAGGGGCCTAGGGTGGAGATCTGAGCCTGGATTGGCGATATGGGCCTAGGGTGGAAATATCAGCCTGGAGTGGAGATATGGGCTTGGGGTGGGGATATGGGCCTGGAAACTGGGTCTCTGCACAGCCGACAGCCCTGTTCTTGGGTGCAGGTAGGCACTGAGGGTGAGTTTAACTTCAGCCCAGGAAGGGCCTGGCTGCCAAGACTCACAGCCCAGTGGGGGCAGCAAGGGAGGGCTGGTTCGCCTGCAGATGGATCGTCCATCATGATCTTTCTTTCCAGGGTTCTTCTTGCTGCAGGGGGCCTGGCCACATGAGGGTGAGTCCTTCTCCAAACCTTCGGGTGTCATCTCCCCACATAAGAGGATTTTCCTGAAACAGGAGGGAAGTCCTGTCGGGGAGTCTCTCATAAACTAGGAAGAGAGGACCCTGGGGTGCTCAGCCCACATTTCTGACCTCGCCTCCCTGGCCTCTCAACCCCTTGGCAGAGTCAAGTTCTGTGGGGACCAGGGTTAGACTGGGGTGCTCAAAGCTGGGGTGTGTGGTTGGGAAGTGGTAGGAACAGCAGATCCTCTGAGGACAAAGGTGTTACTCACACACTTCAGCGTTTCCATGATGGTAGGGGCTGCAGTGTGGCTGCTGTCATTCTACCAGAAGAGGTGGGAAACCACAGCCATGGCCCTGACATTCCAAATCCTCTGATGGGGGCTCAGTTGTTTATTTTCGTTCAGGCATCCGCTGATATCCATTCACAAAGGACATGCCCTCCACCTCATGTCTACCCTGTGTTGTTTTATGTGAGTAATCTTACAGTATCAAAATCTAGTAGGAGTCTCTTTACTCAGCACTTGCTCAAAGTTCTCAGCTGAGGCTTTTGTTGTAGGGAGACACCATGTCTTTGCGGGATGGGTCCTTCCTTCAGCCCTGGGCACCAAGGTGTGATAGTAGCCATAGAAACGTGGAAAGCGAGGAGAATCTTCTGAGCACAGGGAGGGAGGGGCAGTTCCACATCCTCCTCTCTAAGGCGGCGCCTCCTTCTCCCCAAGGTGGTCAGGACAAGCCCTTGCTGTCTGCCTGGCCCAGCCTTGTGGTGCCTCTAGGACATGTCATTCTTCGGTGTCACTCTTATCTTGGGTTTAACAACTTCAGTCTGTACAAGGAAGGTGGGGTGCCTGTCCCTGAGCTCTACAACAGAATATTCTGGAACAGCCTTTTCATGGGCCCTGTGACCCCCGCACAACAGGGACATACAGATGTCGGGGTTCACACACACACTCCCCCAGTGGGTGGTCAGCACCCAGCAACCCCCTGGTGATCGTGGTCATAGGTCAGAGGGCTCCTGTCTTGGATTCTCCTTGTCCCACCTCCTGAATCCCAGAGCTTCTGGTGGGCATGTCCTTGAGGGTCCCATCACGCAGGCCCTGACTGTATTTGTGGTAAAGGGGGATTGAATACAGGGAAATGGGTGCTGTGGTGGGAAGAATAATTGTCCCCAGTGATGACTACATTCTAATCCCTGGAGTCTGTGACTATGTATGTTATAGGGGAAGGGACTGAAGGGGAAGATGGAGCTCATGGGGAGACAGCCTGGACTGTCCCACTGGGCTCAGTGTAATCACAAGGGTGCACATGAAAGGAGGAGGAAGAGGGGAGTGGGGATTAGAGCAGTCCAGTGGAAGTCTTCACCAGCTTTGAAGGTGGAGGAAGGCCAAGAGCCATGAATGCAGGTGGCCTATAGAGGCTGGAAAAGTCAAGGAACTGATTCTCCAGAGTCTCCAGAGGGAACAAAGCCCTGCAGATGCCTTGATTTTAGCCCAGGAAAAATAGGGTCCAATTTCTGTCTCCAGTACTGGAAGGTGTCAGTGTGGTCTCTCCTGCTTCCATGCTTCTGATAATTTTGTACAGCAGCAACAGGAAACCAACACTGGAACCCAGGTCAAGGACAAGTTAAGAAACAACCCAAGGAAAGCCAGGCATGGTGGCAGGTGCATGTAATCCTAGCGACTCAGGAGGCTGAGGGCAGGAGAATCACTTGAACCCAGGAAACAGAGGTTGCAGTGAGCCTAGACCACACCACTTCACTCCAGCCTGGGTGAAGGAGTGAGACTCTGTCTCCAAAATTAATTAATTAATTAAAGAAACCAAAGAAGGAGAAGGTTGGCTACCCTGAGATCAGCAAGGGTGGGATGATGATGCCACCACCAGGCTCCATCCACATAGGGAGGGGTTGATACTCCTCCAACCAGCACCAGGAGCCAGCCTATGGAAGCTGGCACCATGGAGAAGGCACAGGCATGGCAAGAGTGGCTCCCAGTCCCCACCAGGAACAGGGTGTGTGGACACTGGTGCCTGCCTTATTCATCAGTTCATATCTTCTGCCAAGGATTGCAATTCATCCAAAAGAGATTGAACCAGGCTGATAAGAGCCTGGATGTGCAGCCTATCCTGGTTCCTCTTTCACCCCCACATAAACAGCAGGAAAGACATTAGTGTGAAATAGATACAACACCCCAAGAGATGAGGCTAAGCCCAGTGGGAAGGGAATCAGAGGCTACTAGAGACAGAGGGACAGAGAAGAGGGAGGGAGACAGATGGAAGGACCTGCACCAGGAGTTAAGGGCACAGAAAAGAACATGAAGACACAGAGAGGAAGGAGAGAGACAGACACCAGCAAGGGGAAGCCTCACTCATTCTAGGTGCCATGGATGGGATGATAAAGAGAGACACCTTCTAAACTCACAACCTCTCTTCCTAGGAGTCCACAGAAAACCTTCCCTCCTGGCCCACCCAGGTCGCCTGGTGAAATCAGAAGAGACAGTCATCCTGCAATGTTGGTCAGATGTCAGGTTTGAGCACTTCCTTCTGCACAGAGAAGGGAAGTTTAAGGACACTTTGCACCTCATTGGAGAGCACCATGATGGGGTCTCCAAAGCCAACTTCTCCATCGGTCCCATGATGCAAGACCTTGCAGGGACCTACAGATGCTACGGTTCTGTTACTCACTCCCCCTATCAGTTGTCAGCTCCCAGTGACCCTCTGGACATCGTCATCACAGGTGAGAGTGTCCGGACATTCTCATTGTCATTGGGCTGCAGAGTGAATGATCCACGACTTGGAACCCCCAGGTAGTTGTAAGGAAGATGAGCTTGGTATTCTTATGGAGAGAGACTGACTTGCTGAGGTTTGTACCAACAGAGACAGAGAAACAGGAGACACAAGTACAGACCAGGTGTCATAACGGAGGACAGACACAGGGGCCATACAGGGAGTTAGAAAAGACAGAAAGAGTTAAAAGAGACAGACAGACAGACATGTCCCAGAGAGAGGTGTCCCTCCATGCTGACTTTGCTCACAGACCTGGCACAGGTTAGAAGTTTCATTTCTGTTTTACCTCCACAAAGTGTTCTCTACCAGGAGAACCCAAGGACACCCATATTTCTGACCTGAGTTGGGCCCTGTGGCCTCAGGCCTTGTGGCACCTACAGGCCATGTTTATTCTGACACCTCTGCCTTCCATGTAATGGAGAGTAACCGTCCCAGGATATCATGGCCCCAGAACACCAACCCCTGTATGCTGTGTGAACTTGTGGTCTCCAGACTGGATTCTGAGGCTCACATTCCAAATAACCCCACATATGAAAGGATCACTGAGAGGCACAGAGAAAAATCAGGAACACCAAAAAGCAAAGACATAAACACACGGAGAATGAGCCAGAGGAAGGAGATTGAGAGACTCACAGACACATAAAGAGAGAGAAAAGAGGGCAGAGGAGTGGTGAGAATGATGGCAGGGAGCAGAGAAAAGCACTAAAATTAGAGTCCTGAGAGAGAGGCACAAGGACATAGAAACATGGAGATGTGGGGATGAATTGCAGAGATTCCAAAGAGAGCTAGAGAGACCGAGAGGCAGAGCAATACAGATGATAGATGGATAGATATAGATAGATGATAAATAGGTAGATGATAGATAATAGGTTAAAGATACATAGATGATGATTGATTGATTCATTAATAGATAATACATAGAGATGATGATGATGAAGACAGATAATACGTACAGATAGAGAGGCAGACAGAAATCATAGAGAGAGAGATGATACATACATATAAATAACAGATGATTGATGGATAGATAGACAACTGATAGATACATAGATGATATATAGATATAGATGACAGGTAGAGAATTTGTAGATAGGCACCGAATAGATAAATAGATAGATCGACAGATAATAGATAGAAATATGCAGAAAGTTATGAACAGGACACAACGTGAGAAACTTAGAATTTAAAAAAGTAACATCAAGTCAACCAATCCAAGGAGAGTCAGAGAGAATAAAACAATCCAAAAACGGAAAACATATCTAGAGGTGGGGAAGCGAGGTCAGAGACCTAGAGAGACAGAGAAGGTGGAAGAAGGAAATAGACATGAAGAGAGATGGGGTGGAGGGTGAGAGAGAGAGAGAGAGAGCATTAGGTCATAGAGCAGGGGAGTGAGTTCTCAGCTCAGGTGAAGGGAGCTGTGACAAGGAAGATCCTCCCTGAGGAAAATGCCTCTTCTCCTTCCAGGTCTATATGAGAAACCTTCTCTCTCAGCCCAGCCGGGCCCCACGGTTCTGGCAGGAGAGAGCGTGACCTTGTCCTGCAGCTCCCGGAGCTCCTATGACATGTACCATCTATCCAGGGAGGGGGAGGCCCATGAATGTAGGTTCTCTGCAGGGCCCAAGGTCAACGGAACATTCCAGGCCGACTTTCCTCTGGGCCCTGCCACCCACGGAGGAACCTACAGATGCTTCGGCTCTTTCCGTGACTCTCCATACGAGTGGTCAAACTCGAGTGACCCACTGCTTGTTTCTGTCACAGGTGAGGAAACCCCATATCTGTCTCATGTCCTATGATCCTAGAGCCTTAGCTGAGGAGCTTCCTGCTGATGATGGAGATAAGCATGGACAGATGCAGAGAGAAGACGAAGCTTGGGTGTGAGGGAGGGATCAGGGCACAGGATGGCAGACAGGGCACCTCCAAACCCTCCTACACGGCCTGCATGAAGGCCCGCGGCCAGGGCTCCAGGCACACAGGCAGATGGAGAAAGCGGTCAGGAGAGACCCAGAGGAGGGAGACTGGGCTCAGTTTGGGAAGATCAGAGGTTCCCTCAGCCCCTCAACATTACCCATTTCCCAGAAGCCCATCCTGGCCTCTCACCCACACAGGGATGTCATCACCAGCAACCCCTACACCCTTTACTTTTGTTTGAAGAAATATTTATTGAGGATAAATATACCTATATAGCTTACCACCTTTAACATTTTTTTTTTTTTTGAGGCAGAGTCTAGCTCTGTCCCCTATGCTGCAGTGCAGTGGCACAATCTCAGCTCACTGCAACTTCCGCCTCCTGGGTTCAAGTGATTCTCCTGCCTCAGCCACCTGAGTAGCTGGTGCTACAGGCGCGCACCACCACGCCAGGCTACTTTTTGTATTTTTAGTAGAGAGGTGGTTTCACCATGTTGGTCGAGCTGGTCTCCAACTCCTGACCACGTGATCCACCCGCATCTGCCTCCCAAAGTGCTGGGATTACAGGCATGAGCCACCACTCCCAGCCACATTTACCATTTTTAAGTGTAAAGTCTAGTGGTCATAAATACATTTATAAATATATATATATATATATATGTATGTATATATATATACACACACATATATATACATATATATATGTGTATATATATATATATATATATATATATATATATATATATATATATATATTTTTTTTTTTACCCTCCACCCTTTTCTTCCTGGCCTCTGGAAGCCACCATTCTACTCTCTACCTTCATGAGATCCACCTTTTAGCTCTGTATATGGGTGAGAAATGGGAATCTTTGTAATGACTTCCAGTTCCATCCATGTGGCTGCAAATATCAGGATGTTATTCTTTCTATGGATGAGTAGTCTCCACTGTGCGTATGTACTACATTCTCTCTATCCATTCATCCACTGATGGGCAGGTAGGTTGACTCCACATCTTGGCTACTGTGAACAGTGCTGCACCAATCATACGAGTGCAGATATCACTTCGATATATTGATTTACTTTCCTTTGGATATAAACCCAGTAGTGAAATTGCTGGATACTATGAAAGTTCTCTTTTTAGTTATTCGTTTGTTGTTTTGTTTTTGTTTTTGAGACAGTTTCCCTCTGTGCCCAGGCTGGAGTACAAGTGATGTCATCTTGGCTCATTGCAACCTCTGCCTCCTGGGTTCAAATGATTTTCCTACCTCAGCCTCCCTAGTAGCTGGGATTACAGGTGCACGCCACCATGCCTGGCTACTTTTTGGTTTTTTTAGTATAGATGGGGTTTCCCCATGTTGGCTGGGCTGCTCTCAAACTCATGACCTCAACTGAGGTGTCCGCCTCGGTCTCCCAAAGTGCCGGGATTACAGGCATGATCCACCTCACCCAACCTCTTTTTAGTTCTTTAAAGGACTTCCACACTTTTCTCCGTAAAGGCTGTACTAATTTACACTCCTACCAACAGGGTATTAGGGTTCTCCTTTCTCTACCACTTTGGCAGGATTTCCTTTGCCTGTCTTGCAGCTAAAAGCCATTTTACTTTATTTCATTTTATTTTGAGATGGAGTTTCGCTCTTGTCACCCAGGCTGGAGTGCAGTGGTGCGATCTCGGCTCACCACAACCTCCACCTCCCAGGTTCAAGCGATTCTCCTGCCTCAGCCTCCCGAGTAGCTGGAATTACAGGCACACGCCACCACGCCCGACTAATTTTTGTATTTTTAGTAGAGACAGTGTTTCTCCATGTGGGTCAGACTGGTCTCAAACTCCCGACCTTATGAGATTCACCCACCTCAGGCTCTCAAAGATCTAGGATGACAGACGTGAGCCACCACGCCCGGCCTAAAAGCCATTTTAATGGGGTGAGATGAAAACTCACTTTGATTTTAATTTGCGTTTCTCTGATGATGAGTGATACTGAGCAGTTTTTCGTATGTGGGGAAATTTCATGTCTTTTGCTCCTGTTTCAATTAAATCATTTGTTTTATTGAGTTGTTTGAGCTTCTTATATTTCTAGTTATTAATCCCATCTCAGATGCATAGTTTGCACATATTTGCTCCCAATCTGTGGGTTGTCTCTTCACTTTGTTGGTTTATTTTTAGCGGTGCAGAAGTTGCTTAGCTTGAGGTAATCCCAATGGTCTATTTTTGCTTCGATTACTTGTGTTTTGAAGGTTTAAAACAAAATGTCTTCCTTCAGACAAATGTCCTGGAGCATTTCCCCAATATTTTCTTCTACGTGTTTCATAGGTTCAGGCCTTAGACTCACATCTTTAATCCATTTTCATTTGATTTTTGTGTATGGTGACAGGTAGAGGTGCAGTTTCATTCCTCTGCATGTAGATGTCCAGGTTTCCCTGCACTGTTTATTGAAAAGACTGTCCTTTCCTGATTGTGAGTTCTTGGCACCTTTGTCAAAGTCCATTGGATGGGCTGGGCATGGTGACTGACACCTGCAATTTCAGCACTTTGGGAGCCCAAGGCGGGTGGATCACCTGAGGCCAGGAGTTCAAGATTAGTCTGGCCGACGTGATGAAACATTGTCTCCACTAAAAATATATAAATTAGCTGAGCATGGTGGTCAGCACCTATAATACCACTACTCAGGAGTTTGAGGCCAGAGAATTGATTGAACCCAGGAGGCTGTGGTGGCAGTGAACCGAGATTGCACCTCTGCACTCCAGCCTGGGTGACAGAGCGAGACTCCATCTCAAAAGAAAAAAGAAAAAAACATTGGATGTAAATGCATGGATTATATTTGTGTTGTTCATTCTGCTCCATTGTTCTATGTGCCTTTCTTCATGCCAACATCATGCTGTCTTGCTTACTACAGCTCTGTAACATATTTTGAGATCAGGTAGTGTGATGCTCCTGTTTTCTCTTTATACCTTGAAGTCTCAAGACAATGGGCGTCACATACAAAAATTATGGAAAAAAGGATCCCAGGACTCCCAGGGCCCAATATTAGATAACAGAGTGTTGGCCATGAACCAACCTCAAAGATTTCCATTGAGTAGAGGACAGACACCCTCATTTCCTCACCTCTCTCCTGTCTCATGTTCTAGGAAACCCTTCAAATAGTTGGCCTTCACCCACTGAACCAAGCTCTAAAACCGGTGAGTACAGAACCCTCTTATATCCGCTTTTGGAAACCTGGGGAGGTAGAAACCTTCGATGCAGGCATTGACTCAGCATCTCGCAGCTCTGACATTGTACGCCTGTCTTCTACCATCTCCGAACTCCAGATACTCCAACAGCGAAAGGGATCTGGGCCCAACCTAGGGCTCAGTGAAATCTCTTAATCTCTCATTTTATGGAGCTGAGACCTCCTACAAGCTAGAAGAATGATTGCCAATCTGACATCCTTCTCAGGAAAAATGCAATGTTTGTTCTGCCTGCATTCCTAACTGGAGGATAAATTCCTGGGGGCTTGAGAGAGGGAAGGGAAGGGAACATCTGATGAGGGCGAGGTGTTTTAGAGAAGTTCCACTTGCCAAGGAATGAATTACTGTTGGTCATGAAGCAACCCTGGCTGACTCAGCAGAGCAACAGCCTTGCCGTAACAGAGAACGGAGCTCATGCACGCACACTTCGACTCACTGACTCATTCAGCCACGGCCCCATGCTCAGGCTGTGCAGTGCGGAACCTTTTCCTATTGTTGCCATAACAAATTTCCACAAGATTCGTGGGTGAAAACAAAACGGTTTTTTAATTATCTTACAGTGCTGTAGCTCAAAGTAGGAAGTGCATCTTACTGGGCTAAAATCAAGGTGACAGCAAGGCTGCCTTCCCTCTGAGGATTCCAGGCAAGAATCTGCTTCTCACTTGTCCCAGCTTCTAAAGGCTCCCAGTTCCTTGGCTCCTGGTCCCCTTCCTCCTTCCTCAAAACCCACAAAGACTGGTCACATCTCACATGGCATCACTCAGTGCCTTCTTCCTTACCACACCTCTTTCTCTGAATGCTGCTCTCCCTTCTTCCTTATCTTTTGAAAACTTGGGGATTCTATTGGGTTCACCAAGATGAAAATCCCTCATAATCTCCTGGAAATCATCCAGGATACCCTTGTTTTAAGTTCAGCTGATTAGCAACCGTAATTCCATCTACAATCTTCATTCCTCCTTTCCATGTAAAATAACATATTCACAAGGTATGGAGGCTAGGACAGGGACATTTTGGGGTGGGACAGCATTCTCCTGCCTTCCACAAACAGTGAACAAGATGCATTTGGCCTCTGCCCTTGGGACACTGATATTGCAGATGGTTAAATGGGAGGGCAGAAAATGAATGCACAAGTGGATCTATAAATGAATGATCCATTGGGAAGCATCTGTGCATGAAATCTATTTTTTGTTTGTTCTTTTGTTTATTGAGACAGAGTTGCCCTCTGTCTTCCAGGCTACAGTGCAGTGTCACGATCTTGGCTCACTGCAACCTGCTTCTCCTGGATTCAAGTGATTCTCCTGCCTCCGCCTCTCGAGTAGCTGGGATTACAGGCAACTGCCACCGTGCCCGGCTAATTCTTTTTGTATATTTTTTGTAGAGAGGATGTTTCACCACGTTGGCCAAGCTTGTCTGAAACTCCCAACCTCAAGTGATCCGACCGTCTCAGCATGCCAAAGTAATGGGACTACAGGCGTGAGCCACTGTGCCCAGCCAGAATTCAAAATCAATAATAGATAATGCTGAGTGTATGATTTCAGGTGACAAAGAAGGTCTCACTATTCAGATATTTGTGACATTAATGAAAAACACGGATTGAACCCCTGAAAGATTGGCGGAAGGATTTTGCACACACAGCTGTCAGCCGTGAAGGCACAAAGGTGAAAACAATCTGATGTGGAAGGAAGAGGCTCTTCCTCAAATGCTGGGAATGATGTGGGGAGAATGACAAGATGACTGTGGAGAGACGGAGAGCACACTGGGTACACAGGAAACTAAGGAGGAACAAGGAGTGTGTGTTTGACACTCACAGCCATTGGATTCACCTCGGGGTAGCCAGGAATCCCTACATGATTAATATGACTGACATGAAAATAAGGGAGGCTCAGTTGCATAACTGGAATCTAGGAGACCGTGGAAAAGGCAATTGCCGCCCCACTGGTGAAATGTGGTGCTGATTTAGACACTAAATGAATGAAGTAGATGGATATAAGATAGGTTTGTGAGGTAGAATCATTGACTGGAAAGGCTTGCTGGGTTTGATTTTCCTACTTGTTTAATCCTCGCTTAATTAATTTCTTTCTGAGATTTATTCATCCTACACATAAATCAATACCTGGCAAAGGAGTGACAGATATATGAGGGGTGGTGGAAATGAAGAGACCTATTATAGCATAATATACAAGTCTGTGAACGGTGGCTCACGCCTGTAACCCAGCACTGCAGGAGGCCAAGGCGGGTGGATCACATGAAGTCAGCAGTTCGAGACCAGCCTGGCCAACATGGTGAAACCCTGTCTCTAGGAAAAACACAAAAATTAGCCGAGCATGGTGGTGCATCCCTGTAATCCCAGCTCCTACTCTGGAGGATGAAGCAGGAGAATGACTTCAACCCAGGAGGTGGAGGTTGCAGTGAGTGGAGGTTGCATCACTGCACTCCAGCCTGGGTGGCACAAGGAGACTCCGTCTCAAAAAATAAAAATAAGAAATGCATAAATATAAATATAATATAACACACGCAAATGACAAAGGGACCTGAATTCCAATCATGATTTTTCTATTTCTCTATAATTACTTCTTTGATCCTTTATCTTATCCATTAGGCAATGAGCCTAAAACCTCTTCCCTATTTGGCTTTCTGTGAGCATGAGATCATATAGAAAATGTGAAAGTCCGCTGAATCCTCCAGCACAGATCCTGGAATAGAGAAAGTGCTCTGGTCATCACAAAAAAAACTTGCCCACTCACCCAAATCCCCCACCTCACCCCTACTTCCAATCACCTGTGGAGATTCAGGTAGACCATGGGGAGGTAAACATTAACACTCCTTGGAGTGAGTCCAGATCTTGGAATCAGAGATCAGCGACAGCACTAGCTCCTGCTCCCCTTTCCTACTAATTCACAGGAGGACAGGTGGTATTGAAGCAATAGATGGCCGAGGGGGTGGTCCTTCCCCCAGCCTCTCGGGTAGAACAGCAGCCTAATATGTGTCTCCCGAGATCACAAAGAGCAGCAGGTTTCACACGGGCTTCAACACTATTTCCTGGCCGTTTGACATAAGAGAATTCTATTTCGCTTTTTTTATCTTGATTTCACTTTTGTTTTCTTTCCTTGGAGAATGCAAGTTGTTTGATTCAAGAATGCTGTGGATGTAGAAACCCTAAAGCACATTCGCTGTGAATCAATCCCAGTCCAGTCTTCCCAGAGAAGACTCTAAACACCTCCTGGACTGCACCTGGGCCTATGCCAATTCCTATCACTCACCGTCACTCCAGGGAGACAGAACACACAGAGAATACGTTACATAGGCAGGTTCATTACTAACAGATAAGCAGCGAGTGACAACAGAAACCTATATTTCAATGTGAGCCAGTCCCTCAAGGCTCAGAAAAGCTCCTCGGGACATATGGAGTCACCCCATTTGCAGTGTAGCTGCGGGAAGCCAGAAAGCAGCCCAGCCTGGGTTTTGTACCCTGGAGCCACAGGAAGCACTCAGCTAAAGCACTGCATGACGTCCTCCAGGAAGAACAGGAAGACAGCCCAGGGTGTTCTGAGACGTTCCTCCTGATCTCAGGAAGTTGCTGTCTTAGGCCATTTTTGTTGCTCTAAAGGAACACTTGAGCCTCGGTAACTTCTAAAGAAAAGAGATTGGTTTGCCTCACCGTTCTGCAGGCTGTACTGGAAGCATGGCACCAGCATCTATTTCTCGTGACGGCCTCAGGCTGCTCCCACTCTGGCAGAAGGGAAGGAGGGTCTGTCTGTGCAGAGACCACAGAGATCACACGGCAAGAGAGGGAGCAAGGGGGAGGGGGAGTGATGGAGCTTCCAAGCTCTTTTTAACAACCAGCTCTCCGGGAACTAATAGAGGGGGAACTTGCTAACCCCGTCTCCTTGGGACAGCATTGATGTGTTCATGATGGATCCACCTCCATGACCCAAACACCTCTCAAGAGGCCCAACCTCCCACAGTGGGGGTGAAATTTCAATGTGAGGTTTGAAGGGGTCAAACATCTCAACTAAAGTAGTCGTATCCTCAGCACGTTCTATGGTTACTATGAGAGCTATAACTGAAAAAGCAGGAGAAAGCTGGGTCTCCTGCCATCTGGGTGCTTGTCCTAAAGAGATGTTTTATGTGGTTACCTGTCAATCAAGAAATGCGAGACAATTCATAAAGAGGAACTGCTAAGATTAGCTTCTTATTGGTGTCTCATCTTCTTCCAGGTAACCCCCGACACCTGCACATTCTGATTGGGACCTCAGTGGTCATCATCCTCTTCATCCTCCTCTTCTTTCTCCTTCATCGCTGGTGCTCCAACAAAAAAAGTAAGTCTCACGAAGCAGAGGCCAGAGAGCTCAGGGCCATGTGGGGAAGCAGGATGGGAGCACTCAGGTGTGTGTTCCTCACAAACAGGATGGTCCCTGGCCCAAGGCAGCAGCCACAGAGGCAGGACTTTCTAGAGAGGGCACCAGACTCCCTGCCCCTGCCTTCAACTCACAGACCGTTGCCTGATTCTGAACTGTATCCTCATGTCCCCTGCAGCCACTCACATCCAGGAGAAGGTTCCATGACAGGCAGAAAGTGGGAGACAGAATCAATGGGATGGGAACTCAGAGCTATTCATGGGATGGGTCCTTGAGCTCAGAGAGATAGAATGTCTGAGTCTGCTGTTGGCAACTGAGGGACCTCAGCCACCTATGGTCTCCCCCTGTATGTTGGTATCTGCTTATGAAATGAGGACCCAGAAGTGCCCTCCGAGCTGTTTTGTTGACTTCCGTCTCCTACAGATGCTGCGGTAATGGACCAAGAGTCTGCAGGGAACAGAACAGCGAATAGCGAGGTAGGTACTCCTCGGCCCGGGCTCGTGGCTACTGTTATTCCCAAAGAGTCCTGGAAAATGTGAGCACCCTCCCTCACTCAGCATTTCCCTCTCTCCAGGACTCTGATGAACAAGACCCTCAGGAGGTGACATACACACAGTTGAATCACTGCGTTTTCACACAGAGAAAAATCACTCGCCCTTCTCAGAGGCCCAAGACACCCCCAACAGATATCATCGTGTACACGGAACTTCCAAATGCTGAGTCCAGATCCAAAGTTGTCTCCTGCCCATGAGCACCACAGTCAGGCCTTGAGGGCGTCTTCTAGGGAGACAACAGCCCTGTCTCAAAACCGGGTTGCCAGCTCCCATGTACCAGCAGCTGGAATCTGAAGGCATGAGTCTGCATCTTAGGGCATCGCTCTTCCTCACACCACAAATCTGAATGTGCCTCTCACTTGCTTACAAATGTCTAAGGTCCCCACTGCCTGCTGGAGAAAAAACACACTCCTTTGCTTAGCCCACAGTTCTCCATTTCACTTGACCCCTGCCCACCTCTCCAACCTAACTGGCTTACTTCCTAGTCTACTTGAGGCTGCAATCACACTGAGGAACTCACAATTCCAAACATACAAGAGGCTCCCTCTTAACGCAGCACTTAGACACGTGTTGTTCCAC
The DNA here is from genome assembly GCF_000001405.40 of Homo sapiens. Lineage (NCBI taxonomy): Eukaryota > Metazoa > Chordata > Mammalia > Primates > Hominidae > Homo > Homo sapiens. Next base: position 495,151 of record NW_003571061.2, read on the forward strand.
CTTCCCTCATGCTGTTCCACCTCCCCTCAGACTAGCTTTCAGTCTTCTGTCAGCAGTAAAACTTATATATTTTTTAAAATAACTTCAATGTAGTTTTCCATCCTTCAAATAAACATGTCTGCCCCCATGGTTTCGGTAATGGGACTCTTTTCTTGCCTAAGGCTTCCGGTGTTATCAGTACCATGTCCATATAATCCCATCTGTTCCCCACTGAGTTCTCATCCCCGGACTCTGAGTTTCTGGAAGCAGGGTGGAGCCTCATTTGTCTCTGAGACTCCAATTTCCATCCAAAGATGTAGCACATAGGAGGTTCCAAGGATCACGAATCATATGAACAAGTGATACTCTTACTCTCTGCAGACCTGGAAAGCTGGCAGAGTCATTCCACAATGAAACATTTGTAGAATCATAGGCCTTGTTAGTCTCATCTCCATGGGGACACATATCAACACATCATCTTTCATAATATAAATATACGGTCACTCCTCCATATCTGCGGGGTTTACAGGTGTTTATTGAACCAAGTATAAATCAAAAATATTGAGAGAAAGTATCCACAGAGTTTCAAAAAGCATAACTATGTTGAATGGACACAAATGAAGCTGTGTGTAGGCTGTATCAGGAATTATAAGTAATCTAGAGATGATTTCATGTATACAGGAGGATGTGCATAGGTTATTTGCAAACTCTGTGCCATTTCATATAAGAGGCTTGAGCATCTACAGATTTTGGTATCTGAGTGGAGATCTCAAAACCAATCACCCACGAATAGTGAAGGATGACCGTATATGACTTTTATTTCTCAAATTTAAATATAAATCATAAAAAATGTACAACTAGATAAAAACTAAGAAGTGTTTTTATAGTGTGAGTTAGATTTATTTTTTCCTAGGTGTAACCAATTGGTTTAATATTATTTATTGAGAAGACATTCTATGCCACCTTAAACCACACGGCAGCCTTTGTCAACTCTAAAGGGACTGTGTGTACATGGATGTATTTTAGACACTGTTTCTGCTAAGGGGCTCTCTGTGTCCACACTCTTGATGATGCTGCACTTTATGTAGCCTTATAGAACCCTTTAAATTTAGTAGCCAGAGCCCTCTAATTTGTTATTATAGGCTGTTTGCTTTTTTTTTCTTGAGGCGGAGTCTTGCTCTGTCGCCCAGGCTGGACTGCAGTGACACAATCTCAGCTCACTGCAACCTCCGCCTCCCAGGTTCAAGCGATTCTCGTGCCTCAGCCTCTTGAGCAGCTGGCGTTACAGGTGCCTGCCACCAGGCACGGCTAATTTTTGGATTTTTAACAGAGACACGGTTTCACTATATTGGCCAAGCTGCTCTCAAACTCCTTATCTCAGTTGATCCGCCCACCTCGGCTTCCCAACGTGCTGGGGAAAACTTGATTTTCTATAGCATTATGTTACTGGATATTTCTGTAAAATTTAAAACGAGGGAGGGAGAGAGACAGACAGAGAGCAAACTCCAGAGTTGGGACTCTGGAATCTTGGGTCATGAGACAAATTTTAGATTAAACTACAAAACTCCAGAATTTACAGGTGTGGTTTTTGCTGATAAAGTACAATTCTAAGATTGTAAATAATTGCATAATCCTTCCCTGGGAATTTAAATCATTTTAGCTGGTTCTGCTGTAATACTAGAAATACAAGCATGAAAAATTCTAATGGTTTATTAGTCACAATGACTCCGAAAACATTAATAATACCTATTAGATACTTTGCATATTACACAGGAAGAAGAGTTTGAATCTCAGATAAAAACAAAAAAAATACATGAAAAGTCTTTCATGTTAGCACAGATTTTAGGCATCTCGTGTTCGGATAAAAATACATGAAAAGTCTTTCACGTTAGCACAGATTTTAGGCATCTTGTGTTCGGGAGGTTGGATCTGAGACGTGTTGTGAGTTGGTCATAGTGAAGGACGTGAGGTGCCAATTCTAGTGAGAACAATTTCCAGGAAGCCGTGTTCCGCTCTTGAGCAAGCATCCACTGGGCCTCATGCAAGGTAGAAAGAGCCTGCGTACGTCACCCTCCCATGATGTAGTCAACATGTAAGCTGCATGGGCAGGGCGCCAAATAACATCCTGTGCGCTGCTGAGCTGAGCTGGGGCGCGGCTGCCTGTCTGCACCGGCAGCACCATGTCGCTCATGGTCGTCAGCATGGCGTGTGTTGGTGAGTCCTGGAAAGGAATAGAGGGAGGGAGCGCGGGGATGGAGATCTGGGCCCAGAGGTGGAGATATAGGCCTGGAGGTGGAGTTATGGGCCTGGAGTGGAGATCTGGGCCTGGAGTGGATATATGGGCCTGGAGATGGAGTGATGGGCCTAGAAGTGGAGATCTGGGTCTGGAGTGGAGATATGGGCCTGGAGGTGGAGATATGGGCCTGGAGTGGAGATCTGGGCCTGGAGTGGAGATAGGAACCTGGAGGGGAGATATGAGCCTGGAGTGAAGATATTGGCCTGGGATGGAGATATGGGCCTGGAGTGGAGACATGGGCCTGGAGGTGGAGATATGGGCCTGGAGGTGGAGACATGGGCCTAGAGGTGGATATCTGGGCCTGGAGTGGACATATGGGCCTAGGATGGAGATATGGGCCTGGGTGTGGAGATATGGGCTTGGGGTGGAGATATGGGCCTGGATTGGAGATATGGGTCTAGGGTGGAAATATTGGCCTGGAGTGGAGATATGGGCCTGGAGTGGAGATATGGGCTTGGGGTGGGGATAGGGGCCTGGGGTGCGGATATGGGCCTGCAGGCTGGGTCTCTACACAGCCGACAGCCCTGTTCTTGGGTGCAGGCTGGCACTGAGGGTGAGTTTCCCTTCAGCCCAGCAAGGGCCTGGCTACCAAGACTCACAGCCCAGTGGGGGCAGCAAGGGAGTCCTGGTTTGCCTGCAGATGGATGGTCCATCATGATCTTTCTTTCCAGGGTTCTTCTTGCTGCAGGGGGCCTGGCCACATGAGGGTGAGTCCTTCTCCAAACCTTAGGGTGTCATCTCCCCACATAAGAGGATTTTCCTGAAACAGGAGGGAAGCCCGGTGGGGGATTTTCTTATAAACAAGGATGAGGAGACCCTGGGGTGCTCAGCCCACAGTTCCGACCTTGCCCTCCCCAGCCTTCCTTTCCCTTGGCTGAGTCAGGTTCTGTGGGAACCCGGGAGGGTAGACTGGGGTCCTCCAAGCTGGGCTGTGCGGCTGGGATGTGGTGTCACTGGCAGAGGAAGGGAGCAAAGCAGTGCTAGGAACAGCAGGCCTCTGAGGACAAAGGTGTAACTCACACCCTCCAGCGTTTCCATGACGGTAGGGGCTGCAGTGTGGCTGCTGTCATTCTACCTCAGAGGTGGGGGAACCCCAGCCAGGGCCCTGACCTTCCAAATCCTCTGTTGGGGGCTCAGTTGTGTATTGTGGTTCACACATTGGCTGATATTCCATTCACAAAGAACATGCCCTCGACTCCATGTCTATTTGTGTTGTTTTATGTGAGTAATCTTGCAGGATTAAAATCTAGTAGGAGTCCCTTACTCAGCACTTGCTCAAAGTTCTCAGCTGACACTTTTGTTGTAGAGAGACGCCAAGTCTATGCGGGGTGGGTCCTTCCTGTAGCCCTGGGCACCCAGGTGTGGTAGGAGCCTTAGAAAGTGGAAATGGGAGAATCTTCTGACACGTGGAGGGAGGGGCGGCTCCACATCCTCCTCTCTAAGGTGGCGCCTCCTTCTCCCCCAGGTGGTCAGGACAAGCCCTTCCTCTCTGCCTGGCCCAGCCCTGTGGTGTCTGAAGGAGAACATGTGGCTCTTCAGTGTCGCTCTCGTCTTGGGTTTAACGAATTCAGTCTGTCCAAAGAAGACGGGATGCCTGTCCCTGAGCTCTACAACAGAGTATTCCGAAACACCGTTTTCATAGGCCCTGTGACCCCAGCACATGCAGGGACCTACAGATGTCGGGGTTCACACCCACACTTCCTCACTGGGTGGTCAGCACCCAGCAACCCCCTGGTGATCATGGTCACAGGTCAGAGGGCTCCTGTCTGGGATTCTCCTTGTCCCACCTCCTGAGTCCCAGAGCTTCTGGTGGGAGTGTCCACCAGCGTCCCATCATCCAGACCCTAACTGTATTTGGGGTAAAAGGGGATTGAATACAGGGAAATGGGTGCTGTGGTGGAAAGAATAATTGTCCCCAATGATGACTGCATTCTAATCCCTGCAGTCTGTGACTATTTATGTTATAGGGGAAGGCACTGAAGGGGAAGATGGAGCTCAGGTTGTTGAGTTGACCTTGAGATGGGGAGACAGCCTGGACTGTCCTGCTGGGCTCAGTGTAATCACAAGGGTGCACATGAGAGGAGAAGGAAGAGGGGAGTGGCGATTAGAGCAGTGCAATGGAAGTCTCCATCAGCTTTGAAGGTGGAGGAAGGCCATGAGCCATGAATGCAGGTGGCCTATAGAGGCTGGAAAAGTCAAGGAACTGATTCTCCTGGGTCTCCAGAGGGAACGCAGCCCTGCAGATGCCTTGATTTTAGCCCTCAAAAAACAGGGTCCGATTTCTGTCTCCAGAAACGGAAGGGGTCAGTGTGCTCTCTCCTGCTGCCATGCTTCTGATAATTTTCTACAGCACCAACAGGAAACCAACACTGGAACCCAGGTCAAGGACAAGATAAGAAAGGACACAAGGATAGCCGGGCGTGGTGGCAGGTGCATGTAATCCTAGCAACTCAGGAGGCTGAGGGCAGGAGAATCACTTGAACCCAGGAGACAGAGGTTGCAGTGAGCCTAGACCACACCACTTCACTCCAGCCTGGGTGAAGGAGTGAGACTCTGACTCCAAAATTAATTAATTAATTAAAGAAACCAAACAAAGAGAAGGTTGGCTACACCGAGATCAGCAAGGGTGGGATGATGATGCCACCACCAGGCTCCATCCACATAGGGAGGGGTTGATACTCCTCAAACCAGCACCAGAAGCCAGCCTATGGAAGCTGGCACCATGGAGAAGGCACAGGCATGGCAAGAGTGGCTCCCAGTCCCCACCAGGAACAGGGTGTGTGGACACTGGTGCCTGCCTTACTGATCAGTTCATACCTTCTGCCAAGGATTCCAATTCGTCCAAAAGAGATTGAACCAGTCTGCTAAGAGCCTGGACGTGCAGCCTATCCTGGTTCCTCTTCCACCCCCACATAGAAGCAGGAAAGACATTAGTTCGAAATAGATACAACAGCCCAAGAGATGAGGCTGAGCCCAGCGGCAAGGGAATCAGGAGCTACTAGAGACAGAGGGACAGAGAAGAGGGAGGGAGACAGATGGAAGGACCTGTACCAGGAGTTATGGGCACAGAAAAGAACATGAAGACACAGAGAGGAAGGAGAGAGATAAGACACCAGCGAGGGGAAGCCTCACTCATTCTAGGTGCCATGGATGGGATGATAAAGAGAGATGCCTTCTAAAGTCACAACCTCTCTTCCTAGGAGTCCACAGAAAACCTTCCCTCCTGGCCCACCCAGGTCCCCTGGTGAAATCAGAAGAGACAGTCATCCTGCAATGTTGGTCAGATGTCATGTTTGAGCACTTCCTTCTGCACAGAGAGGGGAAGTTTAATGACACTTTGCGCCTCACTGGAGAGCTCCATGATGGGGTCTCCAAGGCCAACTTCTCCATCGGTCGCATGACGCAAGACCTTGCAGGGACCTACAGATGCTACGGTTCTGTTCCTCATTCCCCCTATCAGTTGTCAGCTCCCAGTGACCCTCTGGACATCGTGATTACAGGTGAGAGTGTCTGGACATTATTCTCATTGTCACTGGGACACAGAGTGAATGATCCACGACTTGGAGGCCCAGGTGGTTATAAGGAAGATGAGCTTGGTATTCTTATGGAGAGAGACTAATTTGGTGAGGTCTGTACCAACAGAGACAGAGAAACAGGAGACACAAGTACAGACCAGGTGTCATAACAGAGGACAGACACAGGGGCCATACAGGGAGTTAGAAAAGACAGAAAGAGTTAAAGGAGACACAGACAGACATGTGCCAGAGAGAGGTGTCCTTCCATGCTGACTTTGCTCAGAGACCTGGCACAGGTTAGAAGTTTCATTTCTGTTTTACTTCCACAAAGTGTTCTCTACCAGAAGAACCCAAGGACACCCATATTTCTGGCCTGAGTTGGGCCCTGTGGCCTCAGGCCTTCTGGCACCTACAGATGCCGTGTTTATTCTGACACCTCTGCCTTCCATGCAATGGAGAGTAATCGTCCCAGGATATCATGGCCCCAGAACATCAACCCCTGTATACTGTGTGAACTTGCGGTCCCCAGACTGGATTCTGAGGCTCACATTCCAAATAACCCCACATATGAGAGGATCACTGAGAGACACAGAGAGAAATCAGGGACACCAAAAAGCAAAGACATAAACACACAGAGAATGAGCCAGAGGAAGGAGATTGAGAGACTCACAGACACATAAAGAGGGAGAAAAGAGGGCAGAGAAGTGGAGAGAACAATGGAAGGGAACAGAGAAAAGCACTAAAATTAGAGTCCTGAGGGAGAGGCACAAGGACATAGAAAGATGGAGATGTGGGGATGAATTGCAGAGATTCCAAAGAGAACTAGAGAGACCGAGAGGCAGAGCAAGACAGATGATAGATGGATAGATATAGATAGATGATAAATAGGTAGATGATAGATAATAGGTTATAGATACATAGATGATGATCGATTCATTCATTGATTAATCGATGATACATAGAGATGATGAAGATGAAGATAGATAGATAATACATAGAGATAGAGAGGCAGACAAAGAGAAATCATAGAGAGAGAGAGATGATACATAGATATAGATAATAGATGATTTTTGGATAGACAATTGATAGATAAATAGATTATATATAGATATAGATGACAGGTAGAGAATTTGTAGATAGGCACCAGATAGATAAATAGATATATCGATAGATAATAGATAGAAATATGCAGAAAGTTATGAACAGGACACAAAGTGAGAAACTCAGAATTTAAAAAAAGTAACATCAAGTCAACTAGTCCAAGGAGAGTCAGAGAGAATAAAACAATCCAAAAAGGGAAAACATATCTAGAGGTGAGAAAGTGAGGTCAGAGACCTAGAGAGACAGAGAAGGTGGAAAGAGGAAATAGACATAAAGAGAGATGGTGTGGAGGGTGAGACAGAGAGAGAGAGCATTAGGCCATAGAGCAGGGGAGTGAGTTCTCAGCTCAGGTGGGAGGGGAGTTGTGACAAGGAAGAACCTCCCTGAGGAAACTGCCTCTTCTCCTTCCAGGTCTATGTGGGAAACCTTCTCTCTCAGCCCAGCCGCGCCCCATGGTTAAGGCAGGAGAGAGCGTGACCTTGTCCTGCAGCTCCCGGAGCTCCTATGACATCTACCATCTATCAAGGGAGGGGGAGGCTCATGAACTTAGGTTCCCTGCAGTGCCCAAGGTCAATGGAACCTTCCAGGCCAACTTTCCTCTGGGCCCTGCCACCCACGGAGGGACCTACAGATGCTTCGGCTCTTTCCGTGACTCTCCCTACGAGTGGTCAGACCTTAGTGACCCACTGCTTGTTTCTGTCACAGGTGAGGAAACCAGTCTGTTCCCCAAATAGTGGGACTCAGATGGACTACAATGGCCACATTCAGGGGAGCCTCAGATGGAGGGGGTGGCCATGGGGGTGTCAGCCAGAGATGCTGGACAGAAGAGACACAAAGCAAACATACAGAAAGAGGCATAGACAGACAGACAGAGCGAGGCAGACAGATCACATTAGGGTTTGGGGTGGTAACTGCAACCCTACCTGAAGCTTGCAGATAGAGCACAGGCCACATAAACCACTTCCCAGTCTTTGTACAGAAGCCCACCTGGGACACATGTAAACAGCATCAATGCTGACTCAGGAGCATGAAAGGCCGGGCTCAGATTGGAAAGACTAGAGGTAGCATTGGCCGCCCGCCATTGCCCATTTCCAGAAGCCCCCACCTCTCACCAAAGAGTGATTTCCACATGGGGGGCACAGATGCAACCATCGTTGGGGGAGCCCCAATGTCTCTTGATGGGAGGCATTTTCCACCCTAGATGTTTTTTGCTCTCTCCACACCTTGGAGACTCAGTGGGGGAGTCTTCTCTGGGGACTCGGGGAGGGCCTCCCTGGGACTCGCAGGATTTCCAAGCTAGATGACAACATGACAGGTGGAAACAGGCCCATTCCTTCGCCAGGGGCCCCAAGCTCCATCCCAGGAGATGAGAAGAGGCTCTTCTCATTGGTCAGTGGATCCCTGAGGGGACAGAGGCTCAGCACTGAAGGCTGAGAAGGATCTGCCACTTCGCTCAGTGGCCTCAAGCCAGACATCTTCCCTACAGACTTGCAGTGATTCTCCATCAGCATTTAGGGCTGTGGCCACCAACCTGGGTGTTGGTCTGTAGGAACTTTTCATTTCTGACCTTCCATAACTGAGTTCTCTTCCTAAATGTGGAATGCCTTGTACTCCATGTTACTCTCTCCCCAGAAAGAATGTGTGGCTTGTCTGCTCTCCAGCCCTGTCATGGAGATTGATAATCCTTAGGGAGCAAGAGGAGAGGGAAAGAACAAAGTATGAGACCACCTAGGTGCTACTGGTTGAGGTTCCATTTGCCAGTGAAGGGACTTCACTCAGCCGAGGGGGCAACTCAGGGAAGTCAGCCGAGGGAGGGCATTAGAGTAGAGAGAACTGAGCTCACCCAGTAAATGACCCCTTCACTAACTCATTCATCTAATATTTATTTCACACCTACCATCAGTTCTCTCTGTTTCATGGCCAGGAGTAGACAGCACGGCCAAGCTCCTGGGTTCATGATGCTCACATTGCTGTGGGGTGGGAGAGAGAGGCAGAACATGAATGAATGAATGAGAGAATGAATGAATGAGTGAATGATGGAATGAGTGAATGAATGAATGAATGAATGTATGAATTAGTGAGTGAATCCTTAGCACTTGGTGAAAGTGCCATGCACAGAATGAAATGAATGAACGTGGAACGTTGTCATTTGGAGTGTACAGGAGGGAACGTCTCACTGAGACCTCATCAGAGAGATCACATTTAAACTCCGATCTTAGAGACAAGAGGGAGTGAGCCCTGGGGAGTGTGTTGAAAGGAACTTTCATGGACTTAGGACATTGGGGATGACCCTAATGTGAGAATGAGCTTGGTGTGTTCCAAGAAGTCCATGGACCTGCCATATGGTGAGGGCTGGTCAGAATCCAGAGAGATTTCTAAATGCCCTTGTGCTTGTAAGGAAAGTGAGTCCTGTGGTTGGGAGTGGACTTATACCTTGGGTCAGGTCCAGCAATTATCTTTCTAAATCCTCTCTAATTGCCTGAACCACTTCTATCAACAACTGAGAAAAGAGGAGTGTTAAACACCCCACTGTGGCCGTGGATTTGCCTACCTGTCCATTTATTTCCGCGACTCTTCCTCCATGTATATTTGCAGGAATATTACTGGGAGTGGTTAAGTGTAAACTGATTATATATTCCTGGTAAATTTAAAATGCTATAAATTTACCTGCTTTTTTCCTACATTTTATGCTTAATGTTTTCCGCTGATTTTTCCCAAAGACTAATTTTGTCTAATTTTAATATAGTTATACCACATTTCTAACAGTGATTGCTTGGTATATTTCTACATTGTTTAATTTCAAACTCCATGAATTGTTAACATTGAGATGTGTCCTTTGTAAATTTCAAACAATTCGCCTTAGAAAGTAAGACTTTCTGACAATCTTTTGTTCATGTTTGAGCAGTTCTTCCAATCATATTTTTGTTATTATTACGTTGTGTTTTCCTGATTCCCTTTTTTTCCCACTGACTTCTGTGGTTTTCTATTTCAAACATTCTATTTTTGATCTATGTCGTTTAGGAATACATATATGGTGTACTCATCCTGAAGTTGTTACATATTTTTAAAATTGAAATTAATCATTTCAGAGATTAAACTGCAAATATAAAAACATATTTCCACTCTTCCTGTGTAAGAACAGGATTTTAGAGCATATTTAGTACATATGTTTGTATTTACTTATATGATGTTTTGTTTTGTGGTATACATAATTCTATCTTTTTCAGAAATTACACAGGGGCGTGTTTTCATACACTATCGTATGGTCCATATTCATTTTTGGCATAGCCATATTTTTAGTTCTTCCTCTGCTCTTAGTTATTGTCAGAATCTTCGACACCCCATCTGGTTTCACTTTCTTTATCTTTGAGGCACGGTCATCAGAATTTCCTTTAGGGTCAGTGAGAAAAGCTTTCTTTGCCCTTTTGTCTTTCAGTTCTGTTTCTTTCCTGCGTTGATCTTGGACAGTAACTGTACTATGTAAGGAATTGTCGGTGGCTGGCGACGGTATCTTAGCTGGGTAAAGATGCTATTCTACTGGCTTATGTTTTCCTTTTTTCTGTGGGGAAGACAATGCTTGGCTCCCTATAAATCCTTACCAGCTGATCCTTTTCCTCTGGCTAATTTTAAGGGTTGGTTGTGCTTTTATGCTGCTTTTCTGTAATGTTGAACGTGAGGTGTGTTTACTTCATTCTGCCTGGCATTCACTGGATTTCTTGAACCTGTGGATTGATGGATGTGTCTACTTCCTCCAAATAATCAACAATTGCCTCTTTAAAGATTGCTTCTGACCTGTTTTCTCGTTCTTTCTTTTTGGAACTCAAGTTAGGAGCATTCTAAAACTGTTGTCAATTTTTACCCTGTCACAAAACTGCTCTTTCTTGTTTCAGTTATTTGCTTTTTCTGTGCATTAATATTGATGGTTTCCTCTGTCATAGAGGATAAATACTCTCTTCACTGTTGTGTACACAACATTTTAACTAGTTATTCTGGTTTAAATTTAATATTGACTTTATCTACATATCACAATTGATTACTGTGTACAGACTTTCTTTTCTATTAGTATAAATTTATGAGGTACACTTGTAATTTTGTGACATGAGTATGTTGCAGAGTAGTGAAGTCAGGACTTTTACTATATCCATCACCCAAATACCGTACATTGTACTCATTAAGCAAATTCTCATCACTCACCCACGTCCCGCCACCCTCCAGCCTTCTAGCCTCCGCTGTCCGTCATTCCACACTCTACGTCCATATGTACACATTACTCCCCTCCCATGTAGAGTGAGAAGATGTGGTATTTGTCTTTCTGAGTGGTTTTATGTAAAATAATGGCGTCCAGCTCCATCTATGTTGCTGCAAAAGACATGGTTTTATTTTTATGACCAAATAGTATTTCGTTGTGTATACACGCATCCTTTTTTTAATCCAATCATTCATTCACAGACACTTAGATTGATTTCATATCTTTGCTATTGCAAACAGTGCTGCAATAAACATACAGGTGCAGGTATTTTTTGAGTAGATACCCAGCAGCGGGACCCCTAGATCGAATGGTGCTTCTATTTTTGGTTCTCTGCCAAATTTCCATACTGTCTTCCATAGAGGCTATACTAATTTACATACCGGCCAACAGTGTATAAGAGTTTCCTTTTCTCTGCATCCTTGCCAACACCTGTTATATGTTTCACTTTTTCTTTTTTTCTTTTTGAGATGGAGTCTTCCACTGTCACCCAGGCTGGAGTGCAGTGCCGCCATCTCCACGCGCTGCAACCTCCACCAACCAGGTTCAAATGATTCTCCTGCCTCAGCCTCCTGAGTAGCTGGGATTACAGAACCACACCACCATGCCCAGCTAATCTTTTGTATATTTAGTAGAGATGGGGTTTCACTATGTTGGTCAGGCTGGTCTCAAACTCCTGACCTCATGATCCACCCGCCTCAGCTTCCCAAAGTGCTGGGATTACAAGCGTGAGCCACCACTCCCCACCAGCATTTTTAGTAATAGCCATTCTGACTACTGTAAGATGATATCTCATTGTGGTTTCAATTTGCATTTCTCTGATGATTAGTGATGTTCATACGCTGTTTGGCCATTCGTATGTCTTCTTTTGAAAAATGTCTATGTATATCCCTTTGCCCACTTTTTAATGCTATTATTTGAGGGGTTATGTTTAGTTGTTTGAGTTGCCTAGAAATTCTGGATGTTAGTCCTCTGTTGGGTGCATAGTTTGCAAACATTTCCATTCATTCTGTGGGTTGTCTGTTCACCCTGCTACTATTTCCTTTGCTTGGCAGAAGCTCTTTCGTTTATTAAGTCCCATTGGTCTAGTTTTATTTTTATTGCCTGTGCTTTTGAGGTCTTAGTGATGAATTCTTTGCCCAGACCAATGCCCAGAAGAGTTTCTCTTTGGGTTTCCACCGGTGATTTTATAGTTCTGGATTTACATTTAAGCTGCTAATTACCTTAAGTTAATTTATGTGTATGATTACAGATACAGGTCCAGTTTTATTCTTCTGCATATGGCTATTTAGTTTTCCCAGCACCTTTTATTGAAAAGGAAATCTTTCTCCAGTGTATGTTTTGTTAACGTCGTCAATGATTATTCACTGTAGATATGAGGCTGTATTTCTGGGCTCTCTATTCTGGTCTATTGATCTCTGTTTCTGTGTCTATACCAGCACTGTGCTATTTAAGTTACTATAGCCTTAGAGCATAGTTTGAAGTCAGATAGCGTGATGCCTCCAGGTTTCTACATTCACCTAGAATTGCTTTCTCTATTAGGATCTTTTTTGGTTCTGTATGAATTTTAGGATTGCTTTTTCTAATTCTGTGAAAGCTGGTGTTACTATTTTCATATAAGAATTGCACTGAATCTGTAGATTGCTTTAGGCAGTATGGTCATTTTAACAATATTAATTCTTATGATCCATGAGCGTGGGATTTTTTTTCTTTTTTTTTTTTGTATTATCTATAATTGCTTTCATTGGTGTCTTACACCTTTCCTGGTACAGCTCTTTCACCACCTTGGTTAAATGTATTCCTGAGTGTTTTAATTTTGCGTATCTATTGTAAACGGCATTGCCTTCTTGATTTGGTTCTCAGCTAGATCATTATAGGTGTAGAGAAATGCTACTGGCTTTTACATATTGATTTTGTATTCTGAAACTTTACTTAGTTCATTTATCAATCATAAGAATTTTTGGCAGGGTCTTTAGGATTTTCTAGATTTAAGATCATAGCATCAGAAATAAAAATAATTTTACTTCCTCTTTTCTAATTTGGATTTTTAATTCTTCCTGTTGCCCAATAGCTCTGACAAGGCTTCCAGTACTATGTTGATAGGAAGTGGTGGATGTCCGTGTCCTTGTCTTGTGCCAGTTCTCAGAGGAGTGCTTTTAACTTTTCCTGTTCAGTATGATGTTGACTCTAGATATGTCATCTATGGCTTTTATTATTTTGAGGTATGTTCTTTCTATGCCTAAGTTTTTGAGGGTTTTCATCAGGTAAGGATGTTGAATTTCTTTTCAGATGCTTTTCTTTATGTCTATTGAGATGATCATATGGTTTTTGTTCTGGATTCTGCTCGTTCTTCTAAGTGGATGAGACATGCCAGAAAAGCATTTAGTCAGCCATCTTGGAAACAAGCATCTCAGATGTTTTCTTTCTCTATAGCTCATTCTTTCTTACCAGTGTTTTCAATTTTGTACTTAATTTTGTAAAGAGAGTAAATGATATAATTTCCACATATGTTTCCTCTGCCAAATCAGACTCACTATGCTTCCTTTCCTTGTATGCATAACCTACCCAGCAATACACACAAACATTTATTGCTTTGGAGAATTAGTTTGGGAACATTTTTGAAATGTACAAAAAAATGTATATCTTCAAAAGAAATTTCTTTTTGTGGCAAAAGACTTCTGAAGGTGCTCATGATGATATAGGGAGAAGAGGGGTTCTGGACAGGAAGAATTTTATGAAGGTGAGATGGGGAAATAGCTCCATTTCAGAGCTTCTGGGGAGAGAGGGGCCTGGCCCACATGGAAAGGTCTCTGATCTTACCCCCACCCTCCAGCCCCTGTTCTCCAGAACTATACTGTGGAGAGTTCCATCAGGATTGTTGTGGCTGGTCTGGTCTTCCTGGCTCTTTTGGCAATGCTGGCTAAGACCTGGTGGAGACATGAGGGGCCACAGGTGGAAATGGAAGAAACATGACTGAAGCTGGCTGGAGTGAATGGCGCGACATTCTGTCTGTGGGAGATTGGCCAGATGGGTTTCAAGTGTGTTGTATCAGCTGTGACTTTTAGTAATGTTCTTGCTACCACAATATCCACTCGTCCATCCCGAATAATTGTGATGAAATATTGTCC